>NC_000006.12:60000-211515 GCF_000001405.40 Homo sapiens
GATCTTATATAACTGTGAGATTAATCTCAGATAATGACACAAAATATAGTGAAGTTGGTAAGTTATTTAGTAAAGCTCATGAAAATTGTGCCCTCCATTCCCATATAATTTATTAATTGTCTAGGAACTTCCACATACATTGCCTCAATTTATCTTTCAACAACTTGTGTGTTATATTTTGGAATACAGATACAAAGTTATTATGCTTTCAAAATATTCTTTTGCTAATTCTTAGAACAAAGAAAGGCATAAATATATTAGTATTTGTGTACATCTGTTCCTTCCTGTGTGACCCTAAGTTTAGTAGAAGAAAGGAGAGAAAATATAGCCTAGCTTATAAATTTAAAAAAAAATTTATTTGGTCCATTTTGTGAAAAACATAAAAAAAGAACTGTCACATCTTAATTTAAAAAATATATGCTTAGTGGTAAGGAGATATATGTCAACTTTTAAGAGGTTGAAAAACAAACGCCTCCCATTATAAGTTTATACTTCACCTCCCACCACTATAACAACCCAGAATCCATGAGGGCATTATCAGGAGTGAGTGGAAGAGTAAGTTTGCCAATGTGAAATGTGCCTTCTAGGTCCTAGACATCTGTGGTATAACTGCTCATAAGCAGTAGAAAGAATTTAGAGGGATCCAGGCTCTCATCACGTTGGCACAAAGTATATTACTTGGATCCATCTATGTCATTTTCCATGGTTAATGTTTAAAACCACAGGCTTTAAAGTAAAAAACAAAGAGCTGGATTCAACTCTACTGACTCTTATTAATCATGATTTTGGGCACATTACGTAGCTTTCATGAGCTTTAGTTTCTACATTTATAAACAGGAGATTATACCTATTATGCACGGTTATTATGAAGGAAAATGACAAAATAGATATAAATCAAATAGCCCACTTCGAGACATATTAAGCATGAATAAACATTAGATACTATTAAAATCCTATATATTAACAAAGCCAAAAGTTTCAAACTTTACTTTTTCCCAACATTCTTGTGAAATATGACACATCCCAATCTTAACAGATGCTCATTTGGGATACTGTACTTGTGAGTGGAAGTGTGTATATTTGTGTGCAAGTGTGTACTCATATACTTCCACCTTACCACCCTAGAAAGGCATGATGAAAATTTAAGATAGAAGGAAAATATAAATTGAAAAAAAAAAACCTTAACAAATGATTCTGACAAATATCTTCTCTTTCCAGGGAGAATCACTGAGCCAGAATAAAATTGAACACTAAATATTCTAAGAAAAAAGGAATCTAGTTTGTCAAAATGTGACTTGAATTAATAGATAAGGAGAGTCAGATGATAAGAGGGTCAAAATTATGTTTATCTTAGGAAAAGTAGAATAGAAAATTTATAAGCAGATTAAAAACACATAATAAAAGTAGTAAATAATAATGACAGTATCTCAAATCAGTGCAGGGGGGAAAGGCCTACTAATGTGATGGTGGGATAATTGGATAGCAATATGGGAAAAGATATATTTAATTTATTTGCTACACCAAATGCCAGGACAATCTCTAAGTGAATTCAAGACATAACTCTTTTTTCAAAAAAACTATGCAAATATTAAAAGAAAACAAGTTAATGTTTTTATAATCTATGAATATGGTAAAGATGGATAACATTGACTATCAAATTAATTTTTAATGCGTAATAAAACTATGAGAAAATTTAAAAGTGAGAAGAAACTACTTGTAACTCACATAATAGACTAGTACTTCTAACACATAGGGAACTTCTAAAACAAAACCCAAAATATTAATAGGAAAATGGGCAAAACAGTTAAACTTACAGTTCATACATAAGGAGAATCAGTCTTTTTTTTTTTTTTTACAGTTGTAGGCAGAAAACTTTTATTTTTCATTTATTTGTAAAATTTACCCCTAATTTATTCATAATTCATTTAACTGCTAAGGGCATTAATGTGTACAACGCCATGGGAGAAACCAGTATATTCAGAATTTCTCCTGAAATTTGACCAGAAGTTATGGACATCCCTCCCCTGGGAAGGAGGCAGGCAGAAAAGTTTGGAATCTATGTAGTAAAATATGTTACTCTTTTATATATATACATATATGTGTGTATATGTGTATATATATATACACACATATATACATACATACATACATACATACATACATATTATCTGAATTAGGCCTGGTCTTTTTTAATACTTTAAGTTCTGGGATACATGTGCAGAATGTACAGGTTTGTTACACAGGTATACACGTGCCATGGTTGTTTGCTGCACCCATCAACTCACCATCTACATTAGGTATTTCTCCTAACGTTATCCCTCTCCTTGCCTCCCACCTCCCGACAGGCCCTGGTGTGTGATATTCCCTTCCCTGTGCCCATATGTTCTCATTGGTCAACTCCCATTTATGAGTGAGAACATGCGGTGTTTGGTTTTCTGTTCTTGTGTTAGTTTGCGGAGAATGATGGTTTCCAGCTTCATCCATGTCCCTGCAAAGGACATGAACTCATTCTTTTTTATGGCTGCAAGAAATGCAAATCAAAACCACAATGAGATGCCATCTCACACCAGTTAGAATGGCAATCATTAAAAAGTCAGGAAACAATAGATGCTGGAGAGGATGTGGAGAAATAGGAATGCTTTTACACTGTTGGTGGGAGCGTACATTAGTTCAACCATTGTGGAAGACAGTGTGGTGTTTCCTCATGGATCTAAAACTAGAAATACCATTTGACCCAGCAATCCCATTACTGGGTATATACCCAAACGATTGTAAGTCATTCTACTATAAAGACACATGCACAGGTATGTTTATTGCAGCACTATTCACAATAGGGAAGACTTGGAACCAACCCAAATGCCCGTCAATGTTAGACTAGATAAAATGTGGCACATAGACCTGGTCTTAAAATCAAGAACAGAGATTGTTACTTTTACATCCATTCCTAATTGATAAACCATTCAGTTATACCACATCTTAGCTTCTGGACTACAATGACCATATTTGGGGTTTTCTTTCTAATTTCATTATAGGTTCAGAGGGTACATGTGCAGGTTTGAGACAAAGGTATATTGCATGATACTAAGGTTTGGAGTACAAATGATCCCACCTCCCAGGTAGCAAGAATAATACCCAATATGTAGTTTTTCAACTCTTTCCCCTCTTCCTCCATCCTCCCTCTGCTACTCTGTGGTGTCTGTTTTTCTCATCTTTATGTCCATGTGTACTCGATGTTTAGCTCCCCCTTGTAGGTGAGAACATGTGGTATTTGGTTTTCTGTTTCAGTGTTAATTCACTTAGGATAATGGCCTCCAACTGCATTCATGCTGCTGCAAAGGATGTGACTTTCTTCTTATTAGCTGCATATATTTTGTGGTGGATTTGTACCACATTTACTTTATCTAGTCCAAAGTTGTTGGGCACCCAGGTGGATTCCATGTCTTTGCTAT
Organism: Homo sapiens; assembly: GCF_000001405.40. NCBI lineage: Eukaryota > Metazoa > Chordata > Mammalia > Primates > Hominidae > Homo > Homo sapiens. The sequence continues at coordinate 63,450 of NC_000006.12, forward strand.
TGTGAATAGCACTGGGACAACCCATACAAGTTCATGTGTCTTTTTGGTAAAACAATGTATTTTCCTTTGGGCATATATGCGGTGATGGAATTGCTGGATCGAGTGGTAGTTTAACTCTTAGTTCTTTGAGAAATCCCCAGACTGTTCTCCACAGTGGCTGGACTAAGTTGCATTCCCACCAGCAGTGTAGAAGTGTTCCCCATTCTCTGTAGCCTCACCAGCACATGTTAAACTATCTTTAAATATATGAAAAAAATGTTCAAGTCTCTCAGATTAAGATGCATGCAAAGTAAAATGATACTTAAATATCAGTTCTAACCTATAAAATATCAAATATCTGACCTCAATATTTGATAATCCAACCTGTTGATGAAGCTGTAGAGAGAGGCACTCTTTTTTTTTTTTTTTTAATTATACTTTAAGTTTTAGGGTACATGTGCACCTTGTGCAGGTTAGTTACATATGTATACATGTGCCATGCTGGTGCGCTGAACCCACTAACTCGTCATCTAGCATTAGGTATATCTCCCAATGCTATCCCTCCCCCCTCCCCCCACCCCACAACAGTCCCCAGAGTGTGATATTCCCCTTCCTGTGTCCATGTGATCTTATTGTTCACTTCCCACCTATGAGTGAGAATATGCGGTGTTTGGTTTTTTGTTCTTGCGATAGTTTACTGAGAATGATGATTTCCAGTTTCATCCATGTCCCTATAAAGGACATGAACTCATCATTTTTTATGGCTGCATAGTATTCCATGGTGTATATGTGCCACATTTTCTTAATCCAGTCTATCATTGTTGGACATTTGGGTTGGTTCCAAGTCTTTGCTATTGTGAATAATGCCGCAATAAACATACGTGTGCATGTGTCTTTATAGCAGCATGATTTATAGTCCTTTGGGTATATACCCAGTAATGGGATGGCTGGGTCAAATGGTATTTCCAGTTCGAGATCCCTGAGGAATCGCCACACTGACTTCCACAATGGTTGAACTAGTTTACAGTCCCACCAACAGTGTAAAAGTGTTCCTATTTCTCCACATCCTCTCCAGCACCTGTTGTTTCCTCACTTTTTAATGATTGCCATTCTAACTGGTGTGAGATGATATCTCATTGTGGTTTTGATTTGCATTTCTCTGATGGCCAGTGATGATGAGCATTTTTTCATGTGTTTTTTGGCTGCATAGATGTCTTCTTTTGAGAAGTGTCTGTTCATGTCCTTCACCCACTTTTTGATGGGGTTGATTGTTTTTTTCTTGTAAATTTGTTTGAGTTCATTGTAGATTCTGGATATTAGCCCTTTGTCAGATGGTAGGTTGCGAAAATTTTCTCCCATTTTGTAGGTTGCCTGTTCACTCTGATGGTAGTTTCTTTTGCTGTGCAGAAGCTCTTTAGTTTAATTAGAACCCATTTGTCAATTTTGTCTTTTGTTGCCATTGCTTTTGTCCCACTGATCCCACAGAAATACAAACTACCATCAGAGAATACTACAAACACCTCTACGCAAATAAACTAGAAAATCTAGAAGAAATGGATAAATTCCTGGACACATACACTCTCCCAAGACTAAACCAGGAAGAAGTTGAATCTCTGAATAGACCAATAACAGAAGCTGAAATTGTGGCAATAATCAATAGCTTACCAACCAAAAAGAGTCCAGGACCAGATGGATTCACAGCCGAATTCTACCAGAGGTACAAGGAGGAACTGGTACCATTCCTTCTGAAACTATTCCAATCAATAGAAAAAGAGGGAGTCCTCCCTAACTCATTTTATGAGGCCAGCATCATTCTGATACCAAAGCCAGGCAGAGACACAACAAAAAAAGAGAATTTTAGACCAATATCCTTGATGAACATTGATGCAAAAATCCTCAATAAAATACTGGCAAAACGAATCCAGCAGCACATCAAAAAGCTTATCCACCAAGATCAAGTGGGCTTCATCCCTGGGATGCAAGGCTGGTTCAATATACGCAAATCAATAAATGTAATCCAGCATATAAACAGAGCCAAAGACAAAAACCACATGATTATCTCAATAGATGCAGAAAAGGCCTTTGACAAAATTCAACAACCCTTCATGCTAAAAACTCTCAATAAATTAGGTATTGATGGGACGTATTTCAAAATAATAAGAGCTATCTATGACAAACCCACAGCCAATATCATACTGAATGGGCAAAAACTGGAAGCATTCCCTTTGAAAACTGGCACAAGACAGGGATGCCCTCTCTCACCACTCCTATTCAACATAGTGTTGGAAGTTCTGGCCAGGGCAATTAGGCAGGAGAAGGAAATAAAGGGTATTCAATTAGGAAAAGAGGAAGTCAAATTGTCCCTGTTTGCAGACGACATGATTGTATATCTAGAAAACCCCATTGTCTCAGCCCAAAATCTTCCTAAGCTGATAAGCAACTTCAGCAAAGTCTCAGGATACAAAATCAATGTACAAAAATCACAAGCATTCTTATACACCAACAACAGACAAACAGAGAGCCAAACCATGAGTGAACTCCCATTCACAATTGCTTCAAAGAGAATAAAATACCTAGGAATCCAACTTACAAGGGACGTGAAGGACCTCTTCAAGGAGAACTACAAATCACTGCTCAAGGAAATAAAAGAGGATACAAAGAAATGGAAGAACATGCCATGCTCATGGGTAGGAAGAATCAATATCGTGAAAATGGCCATACTGCCCAAGGTAATTTACAGATTCAATGCCATCCCCATCAAGCTACCAATGACTTTCTTCACAGAATTGGAAAAAACTACTTTAAAGTTCATATGGAACCAAAAAAGAGCCCGCATTGCCAAGTCAATCCTAAGCCAAAAGAACAAAGCTGGAGGCATCACGCTACCTGACTTCAAACTATACGACAAGGCTACAGTAACCAAAACAGCATGGTACTGGTACCAAAACAGAGATATAGATCAATGGAACAGAACAGAGCCCTCAGAAATAATGCCGCATATCTACAACTATCTGATCTTTGACAAACCTGAGAAAAACAAGCAATGGGGAAAGGATTCCCTATTTAATAAATGGTGCTGGGAAAACTGGCTAGCCATATGTAGAAAGCTGAAACTGGATCCCTTCCTTATACCTTATACAAAAATCAATTCAAGATGGATTAAAGACTTAAACGTTAGACCTCAAACCATAAAAACCCTAGAAGAAAACCTAGGCTTTACCATTCAGGACATAGGCATGGGCAAGGACTTCATGTCTAAAACACCGAGAGAGGCACTCTTATGCATTGTTGGTGAGAATACAAAATGGTACAACTCTTGGCAATATCTTAAAAAATTTACATGGTACTGACTTTTGGTCTAGCAATCCTACTTCTATCCTAAAGATATATTGGCAAAAATACAAAATAATTGATGCACACAAGTCTATTCATTGAAGCATTGTTTTTCATAGTAAACGGAAAGTAGGCCGGGCGTGGTGGCTCATGCCTGTGATCCCAGCATTTTGGGAGGCTGAGGCGGGCAGATCACTTGAGGCCAGGAATTCAAGACCAGCGTGGCTAACATGGCGAAACCCCATCTCTACCAAAAATACAAAAATTAGCTGGGCGTGGTGGTGCACACTTGTAATTCCAGCTACTTGAGAGGCTGAGGTGGGAGGATCGCTTGAACCTGGGAGGCAGAGGTTTCAGTGAGCCCAGAACGTGCCTCTGCACTCCAGCCAGGATGACAGAGCAAGACTCCATCTCAAAAAAAAAAAAAAAAAAAAAAGGAAAATAACCAAATGACAATTAGTGAGTACTACTTGCAAAACTTGTACGCAATAGAGTATGAAGCAACTATAAAATGAGAGAGAAATATCTCCAAATACTACTCTAAAGTAATCTACAAGGTATACCTTAACTGAAAAGAAACAAAAAAGTGACACCAGAATGCTATTTTTATGTTAAAACAGGGATAAATACATTGGATTTACATGCATATATAAGTATATATTTTATAAATGTTTAAATAAGCATACTTAAAATGGCAAAAACATAATACATATATAATTTTCTTATGGCAGGAGGAGGAAACAGGGCAAGGCACAGGGATAAAAGTTATTCTGAATACATCTTATTTTATATTTTTGACTTTGAAATCATGTAGCTGTTTTATGTAATATAAAAATGTAATTAAATTAACAGAAAAAAATTACAACTGCTAAAAATCAAGATCTGGCTTTTTAATTAAGTTATAAAACATCGGAGAAAAGAATTGTTTCATGGGACACTAACATACAGACAAATTCATTTGGAACCCAATGAATTAATGGGCCTAAGATAACAACCAATAGAAGCTAAAATGACGAATAACTGTTTCAGAAGAAAACATATATGGAATGAATCAGCTGAAAATACCTGAACCTACTGATCAATTTTTATATGTCACATGAAGTGAATACACATAAAGTATAATATGGAGCACATAGAACCAACTAGAAATGAGCCTAATTGGTAAATATTCTCTATTTTATGACAATATACAGGAAATACGTCGAAGAGAGAAACATGCAAGAACACCGTAGGGTTTAATAAGATAATCACAAGGTATGGAATATTCAACAGGATGAATATCCTGGATTATTCAGCAAATACACAGAGCTAAAAAGCAGGAGAAAGGAATTCATATATATTTTTAAAAACTAAAAAGATATATTAGCTGATGCAACTTTGAAACTTCTTTAGATCCTGATTCAAATAGAGCAAATTTAACAAATATATTTGAAACTATTAAAATAATTTAAAAATGACTAAGTATTTGATTATATCAAATATAGACAATAATAACCTTGAATGTACATGGATTAAATGTCCACTTAGGGGCTGGGTGTGGTGGCTCATGACTATAATTCCAGCACTTTGGGAGGCCAAGGCAGAAGGATTGCTTGAGGTCAGAGGTTCAAGTGCAGCCTGGTCAACACAGTGAAACCCTATCTCTACAAAAAACAAACAAAAATAAAAAATTAACTAATTTTAAAAAATATATATTTCTTCTAAATTCTCCACCTGAAAGATATAGACTGACTGAATGAATTTTAACTATGATCTGACTATGTGCTTCCCTGAACAAATGCACTTTACCTGTAAAACACATATTAACTAAAAGAAAAGAGATGGAAAAAGGTATTCCATGAACAGAAACCAAAATGAGTAGGAGTAGCTATACTTCTGTCAGACAAAACAGACTTTAAGTCAAAACTAGCTTTAGAAAAAAGACAAAAATGCTTATTATACAACGATAAAGGAATCAATCCAGAAAGAGGATATAACAATTTTAAATATATATGCAGCCAACACTGGAGCAGCCAGATTCATAAAGCAAATACTACTAGATCAAAACAGAGAGGTAGACTCAAATATAATAATAGTGAAGGACTTCAACACCCCACTTTCAGCATTAAACAGATCATCTAATAAGAAAACCAATCTCGCAGCCCTCACCCTGGAGAGTCCACAGGGACCAGGGGTTGGTCTGAACCCCCAGCACAGAGCACCTGCCTCACAGAAGAGTGGCTGCATTTTTCTTCCTGCAGTTTTCAGTCCTCACTTCTCCTTACCAAGCAGGGCCGCCTGGCCTGGGACTCCTGTACAACTACCCTGCCCCCGACCTGACCACTTCAATAAGAAGTAGCCCAGCATTTCTCCAAGGAGGAAATACCAGAGTCAATTCACAACCACTGCAATTGTAGTGGTACCACCATAACAGCCCTTGGGCTGCAGAAGGAACTAAGAGTCTAATCACTACAGTGGCACCTTCAGCACACCACAGCCACCATACAGAGAGGAATCCAGCCCCCTCCCCTGGGAACCCCCACCACCCACTCCACCAGGCACAGCACCCAGCTCATAACTGCAGATCAGTTGCCCCACCCACAGCTGAGCTTACCTACTGGCAGTGGCCCAGACTTTCCCTAGGGAGAGGCTCCCAGAGGCAAACGGCAGCCTCTCTGCCCCTGTCACAGCAGCAGTTCTATCCATGCTGTCCTCAGGCTTGGAAAGAAACAAAGCGCCTGAAGGCTGCACCTGAACTTACAGCATGCCACAGTTCCCATATGGAGAGGAGACCAGTCTCTTCTCCCAGTGAGCCCTAAACCCCCTGATCCCCAACAAGCAGAGCCCTAACCTCACACCAGCAGTACAGCTGCTCCATCCCCCAGGCTGAACATTCCCAGTAATAGCAGCTCCACCTGGAGATGGAGCCCCCAGGGTCAACCAAAAGCCCCTCTGCCACTGCCTCTACAGTGGTACTACCCCTGCTACCCTTGAACTAACAAAGGAGCAAAGACCCCAGTGCTTTATCCACACCTCCAACAAGCTGCAGTCGACCACAAAGAAGAAACAAGTCTGTCTCCCATGGGTCCTACCCACACCCCCTGCTGTTCACCATGAATGATAGAGTCAACAGTGTGAAAACGACCATACTGCCAAAAGCAACCTACAAATTCAATGCAATTCCCATCAAAATACCACCATCATTCTTCACAGAACTAGAAAAAACAAGGCTAAAATTCACATGGAACCAAAAAAGAGCCCACATAGCCAAAGCAAGACTAAGCAAAAAGAATAAATCTAGAGGCATCACATTACTCGACTTCAAACTATACTATAAGGCCATAGTCACCAAAACAGCATGGTACTGGTATAAAAATAGGCATATAGACCAATGGAATAGAATAGAGAACCCAGAAATAAAGCCAAATACTTTCAGCCAACTGATCTTTGACAAAGCAAGCAAAAACATAAAGTGGGGAAAGGACACCCTATTCAACAAATGGTGCTGGTATAATTGGCAAGCCACATGTAGAAGAATGCAACTGGATCCTCATCTCTCACCTTATAAACAAATCAACTCAAGATGGTTCACAGACTTAAATCTAAGACCTGAAACCATAAAAATTCTAGAAGATAAGATTGGAAAAACCCTTCTAGACATTGGCTTAGGCAAAGACTTCACAATCAAGAACCCAAAAGCAAACACAACAAAGATAAATAGATGGGACTTAATTAAACTGAAAGCCTTCTGCACATCAAAATAAATAATCAGCAGAGTAAACAGACAACCCACAGAGTGGGAGAAAATCTTCACAAACTATGCATCCAACAGAGGACTAATATCCAGAATCTACAAAGAATTGGAACAAATCAGCAAGAAAAAAAACCAAACACAAGGATGACAGTGGAAATACAAAAACAAGACATAAATATTCTGAATAGTGATAATAAAACAGTGCATACCAGAATACAAACTGTTTCCAAGTTACAATGGTTCAACCATTTTTCAGCTTTATGGTGGTGTGAAAGTGATATCCATTCATTAGAAACCATGCTCCAGGATGGGCGCAGTGGGTCACGCCTGTAATCCTAGCACTTTGGGAGGCCGAGGAGGGCGGATCACAAGGTCAAGAGATCAAGACCATCCTGGCCAACATGGTGAAACCCCGTCTCTCCTAAAAATACAAAAATTAGCTGGGCATTGTGGTGCGTGCCTGTAATCCCAGCTATTCGGGAGGCTGAGGCAGGAGAATCACTTGAACCAGGGAGTCGGAGGTGTTGCAGTGAGCCGAGATCGTGCCACTGCCTCCAGCCTGGCAACAGAGTGAGACTCCATCTCAAAAAAAAGAAAGAAACCCGACTCCGAATTTTGAATTTTGATATTTTCCTGGACTACCAATATGTGGCACAATGCTCTCTCACAATGTTGTGCAACAGCAGTGAGCTGCAGCTTCCAGTCAGCCAAATGATAATAAAGGTAGATAATCCATCTTGATATCTTCCTGAAGAACATAATGCCTGCCTACCATCAACAGGCATCAATACTTTCTACCAGCTATTCTCAACCCTCATGATCGGAAGAGACAGAGACTGACTGTGTCAAAGTATTAGTCCCATCATTCAGCAATTAACCTTAGCTCAATGCTTCAAAAATTCTTCAGGCCCTGTGTAATTTCAGCTACGTACATTAATGATAAGTACCCATACAACCATTCTGTTTCTTATTTTCAGTACCATATTTAATAAATATCAGTTATTCAATACTTTATTTAGACATTTTGTTAGATTATTTTGACCAACTGAAGTCTAATCTAAATGTTCTGAGCATGTTCAAAGTAAGCTAGGCCAACCTATAATTTTCGGTGTGCTAAATGCATTTTTAACTTATGATATTTTCAGTTTACGGGGGTTTGTTGAGACATAACTTCATCATACATCAAGGAGCATCTGTATATGGGATACAGTTAAAGCAGTGATCAGAGGAAAATCTATAGCCTTAACACATTTATTAATAAAAGTGTAGGAATTAAATTATCAGCTGAAAAATGTAAAAAGTATCTAAAAGAGTAAGCAGAAAGTACAAGAAAGAACCCAAAGTAGAAAAAAGTGAAAATTAATAAAATAAGAAGCCAAAAAACAGATCAAATCAGTAAACCAAAAATCTTGTTCTTTAAACAAATCAACAAAGTTGACAAAAAAATTAGATCTTTTAATCATGAATAAAAAAAAAGAGAAAGCACAAAAATGAATAAGGAATGGTGAGAGAAATAACTATTGATAATCAGCAAATAAAAAATCATTAAAAACAATGTTGTTCACATCTATGAAAAACATTGAAAGCTAGAGGGAATGGGTAATTTTCTAGAAAAATACAATTCACCACAACTGACTTCAAAAAAAAAAAAAAGAAGTACAGCACTTATGTGAGCAATTTCCATAGAGAAATACAGTTGTCATGGAATTATAACACACACACAAACACTAGGTTTAGATGTTTTCATGGAGAATTCCACCAAACCTTTAGAAATCAGATCGTCCAAAGGCAAATTAACAACCCTCAGCCATTTGCGGCAAAATATTACAATTGAGGCAAGATATACTGTACTGAAAACTTGAGGAAAAAGCAGGAGAGAAAGTTCCTTTGGGAAATTCGAATACTCAAAAGTGCTTACATACAATGAAAAATTTGGAAATCCATAAGCATGGCCAAGGTGGGACACATGCTCAGAAAAGGCCTGAGAAGACACTAATAACTCACCTTTAGTAATTCCTAGGCTCACAGCAAGAAAAAATGAAGGCTAAGGCAGAATTATACATGGCTCCGCTAAGTGTTGAGGGAGCCCCAATACAGAGTCAGTAAGCAAAGTCTGGGAGATGTTTTTCATATTTTTTTCTTTTTTGGCTACTTGCAGTCAAGGAAATCATTTTTAAATCACTAAATGCTAAATGAACACAAGCTAAAGGAACCGAGCCGCCTTCAAACATCAAACATAAAAAAGAATGCAGATATTACAAAACCAGTTTACAAAAGTTACTAAACAAATAAAAACTACATCCCACAGTGGGTAACAAAAATAACCTTGAAGAAGGGAAAAATTTGGTTTCCAGAATAAACACATTATAATATCCAAAATGTCCAGTTTTCAACAAAAATTAAGAAGCATGCAAATAAACACAAAACTATGGCCCATTTACAGAAGAAATAAATGAGACTCTCCCTGAGTAAGCAGATATTGGAAATATTAGACAAAAACTTTATATAACTGTCTTAAATAAACTTAAAGAGCTAAAGAAACCCAAGAGAATGACATATAAATAAATAAGAAATATGAATTTTTTAAAAGGTACAAAAAAATTCTGAGGCTGAAAAGTACAATAACTAATTAAAAAGTTACTTTTTACTTAGGGTTCCAATAGAAGATTTGAGCAGCTGGAAAAAAGAATCAGTGAACTTGATAGATCAAGTGAAATGATTCAGTCTGAAGAGCAGGAAAATGAAAGAATGACAACAAAAAAGAATAGAGCCTAAAGACCTGTGTAACAACATCAAGAATGCCTACATACAGAATCCTGGTGGGGAGTGAGGGGCAGGAAGACTATTTGAAGAAATGTGTTTGAAAGCTTCCCAAATTTCACTAAAAACAAATATATACATTCAAAAAGCTCAGTGAACTTCATCAAGGAAATATACAAAGATATTCACACCAAGACACACTATGTTTCAAATTGTCAAAAGGCAAAGCGAATGTTTGAAAGCAGCAAGAGAAAGGCAACGCGTCATTTACAAAGGATCCTCAATAAGTTTGACAGCAGATAGTGCATTATAATCCATGGATGCCAGAAGAGCTTAGGAAAAAGGCAATGCATCATTTACAAAGGATCCTCAGTAAGTTTGACAGCAGAGAGCTCATGATAAACCATGGGTGCCAGAAGAGCTTAGAATGACATTTTAAAGTTCTGAAAGAAAAAAACACTGTCAACCAAAAATTCTGTAACTTGGAAGATGCCCCTTCAAGTATTAAGGATAAATTACACATTCCCAGATTAAAAAAAAAAAGAGAGAGAGAAAGAGAAAGAAAGAAAGAAGAGAGAGAAAGAAAGGGAGAGAAAGAAAAAGAAAGAAAGAAAGAAGAGAGAGAAAGAAAGGGAGAGAAAGAAAAAGAAAGAAAGAAAGAAAGAAAGAAAGAGAAAGAAAGAAAGAAAGAAAGAAAGAAAGAAAGAAAGAAAGAAAGAAAGAGAAAGAAAGAAAAGAAAGAAAGAAAAGCAAGCAAGCTTTAAAAGTTCATGTTTGGTAGGCTGTACTTCAAGATACACTTTAAAAAAAAAAAGACTCCTTCAGATACAAACTAAAAAACACTAGAAAGTAACTCAAAACCACATAAAGAAATAACTCCAGTAAGGATAACTACATAGGTAAATATAAAAGGAATTATCATATTTTTTGTAAGTCTTTTTAAATATTCTATATGTTTTAAAACAAATGTGTAAAATAATGACTATAAATCTATGTTAATGAAGCATGATGTATAAAGATGTGGTTTGTGAAATTACCAACATAAAGAAATTCATAGGAAACTAAATAATAATAGAGATTTTGTATACTATTGAAGTTGTTTCAATTTACTCTAAATTGTTCCAAATTAAGAATGTTAATTGTAAATCCCCATGGTAACCACTAAGTTAATATCTTTTGAAAATACAGAAAAGGAAAGCAGAGGGTAAACACAGTGATATGCTACAAAATAGCAACTAAACACAAAAGAAGGCGATAATTGAGGAAATTAGGAACAAAGGAGGTATAAGACATACAGAAAACAAAAGCAAAATGGTAGGAGTAAGCCCCTCTTTATCAGTAATTACATTAAATACAAATGAATTAAACTCTCCAATCCAAAGAAAGAGATTGACAGAATGGATTTTTAAAAAATGATCCAACTATATTGTCCACAAGATACTCACTTTAGATCAAAATACACAATGAGTTGAAATGAAAGGATGGGAGAAAATATTCCATGTAAGTAATAACCAAAGGAGATCTGAGGCAAATATACTTATATCAGACAAAATAGACTTTAAGTCAAAAACTGTTACAAAATACAAAGAACAGTATATATTGATTTCAAAATTAAACAAGAAGATATAACAATTATAAATATATGTACACCAACTAACAGGGCTCCAAAATATATAATGTAACCATTGAGAGAATTAAAGGGAGAGACAGACAATTCCACGAAAATTGTTGGGCATTTTAAAACCCAACTTTAATAAAGGACAAAACATCCAGAGCAAATATCAAGGGAGGAATTAGAGGATTTGAATAAAACTATAAGCAATAACTATAGATAACACTTCTCTCAAAAACTGCAGAATACACATTCTTCTCAAGTGAACATGGAACATTCTCCAGCACAGATGATATGTTAGGCCATAAGATAAGCTCAATAAACTTAAAAAGATTGAAATCATGCAAAGTATCTTCACTGACCACAATGGAATGAAATAAGATATCAATAACAAAAGAAAAACTAGAAAATTTACAAATATTTGGAAATTAAACAACACAGTATTTACCAACCAATGAATCAAAGAACAAATCATGAGGGAAATTAGAAAATGTTTAGAGACGATTGAAAACAAAGATATAACAAGATGGGTGTGATATATCAAAAGCAGTGCTCAGAGTTGTAACACCTACATTTTAAAAAAGAAACATGTCAAATCAATAACCAAACTTTACTCAATAAACCATAAAAGGAAGAGCAAACAAAATCCAGAGCTAGCAGAAGGAAGGAAATAAAGATTAGAGCAGAGATAAATGAAATTGAGAATTAAAAAATTATACAGAGATCAACAAAACTAAAAGTTGGTTCTTTTAAAATATCAATAAAATTAATATACTTTTACATAGACTAAGCAAAACATCTCTATTCAGCTGACTTTTTTTTACAAGGGAGCCAACATTATTCAGTGGGGAATAATAGCTTTTTCAACAAAAAGTGCTGGGAATACTGAATATTCATATGAAAAAAAAATGAAGCTGGACCCCTACCTCACATTATATACAAAATCTAGATTGGATCAATAATGTAAATATACGAGTGAAAACCATACATGCTTAGAAGAAAACATGGAAATAAAACATTGCTGTGGATTGGCAATGCATTCTTAGATAATACACCAAAAATACAAGCATGAAACAAACAAATGTAGCCAAAATGTACCAGAATCTGAAAACATGTATTATCTATAAAGAATTAGAGGGGAATTTGGTGAAAGAAATATGGGAGAATGGGATATTGCTCTGTGAATGCTTTTGTGCATAATTGTACATTTTTAATTAAGTTAATCTTTTACACTCTCAAAGTGTGATATTAAGCAAGCAAAGATAAGTTATTACAAGACTCTAAAACCGAATGCAATGAGAAACAAGTGAATCCAAATATATTTCAAATGAATGAATGACATAATCAAACTTAAGGGGAAAATAATAATTAATCTGATTAATTTTTGACTGTTCTCTTATTTCAAATTGACTTTTGAACATACTTTGACTACATACTATTGCTTGAAAAAATAAAATATCTGCAAAAAATTATTAAATCTTCATGATAGGATTTTTTCTTTTTATATTAGTATAAATATAACAATTCTGAAACAAATGTATGTGCATTGTAAGATTAAGCCAATGAGTAAATATTAATATATTTGTATTGCTAGAACCCCAGATTCTCACTGTGAAAGGACAGAGATACAGATATGGAATAAGACAAGGAAAGAAGCAGCCCACTGAGTTACATTAGAATCAGTATTATCAACATAAATATGCAATGTGCTCTCTCACATGCTCTTTCCTTCTCTTAAAAAAATATAATATGTACATATTATATATTATATGCATAGACACACGTGTGTCTATACATATCCTATCTATACATATTGAGGATTAACAGGTGCTAGTAGAAAATATTAACTTTCTTTGTATTAACAGGTGTTAGTAGAAAGTAGTAGTAGGTGCTAAGATAAAAGCCATAATTAAACCTCCTGGTGAATGAACACACCATCACCAACAATCTTACCAAAAATAGAACCAAGCACGTGTCCTAGTCAAACCTCTGGATTCAACTGTCATTTGGATAAAACGCAAAGGATAGTGAAAATGTCGATCTTCACTGAGAGTCTCACCAGCAAATTTCACAGTGTGGACATCAAGTGACAAAAATCCCACATTTTTCAACAAATATATTGTATGGGAAAGAAAACTTTGAAAAGAAACCTGTATGTTAGAAGGGATTTTAAAAACACGACAAATGAAAACAAATGCGCAAGACTAAATCATAGTGTCTTGGAATGCATGCATGAAGGACACAGCCGTGAAAATGCAAGGACGCCTCTACTGGAACAGTCACGTTTATCGTCACTTTTCAGGAGAAAGGTGGCTGCAACTGAGGAGAGTCACATGCAGGACTTCAGGGCTGGCAAAGTCCTATATCTTGACTTATGTGATGATTACAGGGATGTTTACAAAAATCAAACTATAAGTTTGTTTTGTGCCATGTTTTGTATTGTGTGTGTGTGTTTTGTTTTTCAACTTAAAAATACATAAAATCAAAACCAAGGCTTCATTATCAAGTAGCACAAAGTCTCCAATCTATAACCTCCTTTGTCTGGATATCTGCATTTAACTACCATTGCCAGAGCTAATCCTGACAATGCATTCATATTTTTAACACTGAAACACAGTAAACAGGGAAAATTTTGCTCCTCTAAAACAGGGCATCTTCAGGCAATCAGAACAACTCAGAAAGTTTCTGTCTGTTGCATAAAACTCCCCTGTGCAAAGAGTTACACAAAATGCTGTCATAGTAAAGGTAGTTAACTAACGGCACTAATTGTTCTTGGGCAGTGGCCAAGTGGAACTTCAGAGACCTGGCATTGCCAGCCAGAAATCACTTGTCATGGGAATTGTCTCCTGGAATCACTTTGGTTGTCCCAGGGTAACGCAGGGAAAGTGGTTAATGGGTCACTTGGGGGTGGCATCTTCATCAGTAAATCACATTTACTTTCTCCTACTAAGAATTTTATTTTTGGCCATGAAGCCAAAAGTCAGCTCTTAAATAACAAGGGAAGCAAATAATCATTGAATAAAAATAGCAGAAAGAAAAAGCTGTGCAAAGAAATTTATGTTTTTAATTTGTTATATATGTATATTTTTATCATACTTTAAGTTCTAGGGTACATGTGCACAATGTGCAGGAATAAAATTTATGTTTTTAAAATTTATTCTACATTATGAATTCTACATTAGAAAAATAAACCATAGCCTCATCACAGGCACTTAAATACACTGAAGCTGCCAAAACAATCTATCGTTTTGCCTACGTACTTATCAACTTCCTCATAGCAAACTGGGAGAAAAAAGCAATGGAATGAATAAAATGATAGCCACAAAAATCAAGGTGGGAGAAATACTTATTATATGTCCATAAAAAATTTTAATTAATGCAAAGTATTAACACCAATGATTGCAGTAATACAGATCTTACAAATGATAGTTTTAGTCTGAACAGGACTATCCAAAAGTTAATTTTCTATAGTAACAGTTTTTAAATAAAATATCAATTCCTGAAACACATAAAATGGTCCATGAGTATACAACGAGTGAAAAAAAACAAATTCAGAGCAAAGATAAATTAAGAAGTATCTAATATTCAAACATAGTCAAAGAGAGGGAGATTTCTGGATAATCACTTAAGCCCATGGTTAAACATAAATGCAAATATGTTAATGTTTACTGAATAACTTATCTGTGCCAAGTGGTGTATTAATGATTCATTTTTATTTTTCACTAAATCTTTTCTCTAAAGTTGGTGTAGCCTGCAACTAAATGCAAGAAATCTGACCTAGGACCTGCACTTCTTACCATTTTGCTCATATTTATTCCCTGTGCATTTTTGTAACATGTATATGTTATATATATAGAAAGAGAGAGAGGCAGAGATGGAAAGTAATTTATGGAGTTTGATGTTATGTCAGGGTAATTACATGATTATATAATTAACAGGTTTCTTTTTAAATCAGCTATATCAATAGAAAAATAAATGTAGGAATCAAGAGACTCATTCTGTCCATCTGTGATAGTTCCATCATGATACTGCATTGTCAAGTCATTGCTCCAAAAATATGGTTTAGCTCAACACTGAGTGACTATAGGAAACCAGAAACCAGGCTGGGCGCTAAAGATGCAAAGATGAATGAGACATCATCTCTGCCGTCCAAAAGCTTACTGTCTAGTGGGAGAGTTACACACGTAAGGACAGTAATCTAATAAGAGCTAATAAGTGAAAACTAAGATAAATTAATAATACAAGATTACAGGGAAGGTTTCCAAAGTCAATGAGGCCTCAAATGAATCTTGAAAGTGTGCAAGGATTAACCAAATGAAGAAATGTGTAAGTTTTTCAAACAAAAAGGAACAGCATGAGCAAATGCAAGGAGGCCTAAAATAAAGAGATGTGTAAAGAGGTGTAAGCAGCTTTGTGCTACTGCCTGATAATTAGAAGAATATCGGGAGTAACAAGAGCTATAGAAGAGAGTCACAATTATGGAAAAATATTTATTAAATTATAAGAAATTTATAGCATAAGGAATAGTAGGACCATTAAATGTTTTAATAAAGATGATGCTTCTTTTTTTAATATTTATTTTTATTATACTTTAAGTTCTAGGGTACATGTGCACAACGTGCAGGTTACATATGTATACATGTGCCGTGTTGGTGTGCTGCACCCATTAACTCATCATTTACATTAGGTATGTCTCCTAATGCTATCCCTCCCCCCTCCCCCAACCCCACAACAGGCCGCGGTGTGTGATATTCCCCTTCCTGTGTCCAAGTGTTCTCATTGTTCAAGTCCCACCTATGAGTGAAAACATGCGGTGTTTGGTTTTTTGTTCTTGAGATAGATGATGCTTTAAATTGACCACTCTAGCTGCATTGTGGGAGGAAAAAAAGATTTTAAAACAAGACTAGAAACAGAATAATTAGAAAAATGCAACTACAATGCAGATGAGTGATTATCAAGGTCTGAACTGAATAGTGGAAATAGAGATAAGGAGGCAAATTCAAGATATGTGCGTGACAGTAAAATTAACATGACCTAGTGTTTGATTGACTCTGTAAAGTGAAAGGAAAGGATGAATAATCAACAAATAATATTTATTCTACCAAATGCCTCCATGCCGCTTTGATGACAGGATAATATGTAAGCTTTTCTATATTTCAGAAACTATATGACATGACGAAAAGTAAAAAGGGGATGGGGGTAAGGAGGTATCCTGAATTGACTGAGAAATAAGGAGGTATTCCACAGAGAATATAAATAAACATATACTTAGTGTTCAAGGAATAATAAAAAAGAGAACATCTATGTGTCCACCATACAGGATATGAAATAGAACATTTGCCGGCCATGGTGGCTCACACCTGTAATCCCAGTACTTTGGGAGGCCGAGGTGGGAGGATCACTTAAGCCCAGGACACAGGTTGCAGTGAGCCAAGATCACACTATCGTACTCCAGCCTGGGCCACCATGTCTCAGAAAAATAAAAAAAACTAGATGTCTTGGAGGATTGGAAACAAAATAGAACTTTACTAGTGCCTTAGACGCCCATTGGGTGCTCCTTGCCAATTGTGTTCTCCTTTATTTCCTGCTGGATATGACCACTGTCCTTCCATTGCATTGTATGTGTTTTTTAATAGACTTTAATGGTTCTCAAGTGATGCATTATTTAGTTTGGTTCTTTGAAACTTATATAAATGAAATTATTTTGTAGAAGTTCTTTCACCTTTATCAGAAGGTACTTTCACCTTGATTCAATAATAAGTTTGCATATTACAACCTTGTTGAATGTTGGTGTAATTCATCCATTCGTATTGCTATATGATATTCCACTACATGAATATGTCGGACTTCATTCCTCAGATCTATTGTTGATGAACACTTGAAATTTTTCCAGTTTTTAACCATTACAAACAATGCTGCTATGAACATTCTTTTGTAAATCACCTGGTTCATATGTGCAAGATATCCTCTGGGGTATATATTTAAAAGTAAAATTATTGAGTTATTCAACATTACCATGAGATGCTACACTATTTTTTTTAACAATCCTACCAATTTACACTTCTACCACGAACAGATAAGCATTACCGTTGGTCTTCATTTGTAGGAACCATATTTGTCTTTTGCTCTGGGGGCTTTGTTTTGTTTTGCTTTGTTTTTTGCTTAGAAGTGCTTTGGCTATTAGGGATCTTTTTTTGGCTCCATGTGAACTTTAGGATTTTTTTTTAATTTTGTGAGAAATAACGTTGGTAATTTGATGGGAATTGCATTAACTCTATAGATTGTATGGGTGATATGGTCACTTTAGCTATTGATTTTTCTAATCCATGAGCATGGGATGTTTTTCCATTTGTTTATGTCATCTATAATTTCTTTCATTAGTATTTTGTAGTTCTCTTTGTAGAGATCTTTCATTTATATAGTTATGCATTCCTAGGTATTTTTCATGGCTATTGTAAATTCAGTTGAGTTCTTAATTTGGTTCTCAACAAATTAATCTCAACAAACATTCAAACAGCTTGAATGTATTTGGTGTATAGAAATACAACTGATTTTTGTGGCTTGTTTATCCCAAGACTTTACTGAAGTCGTGTATCAAGTCTAGGAGTCTTCTGAAGACTTTAGGGTTTTCTAGGCCTACAGTCATGTCATCAGTGAGCAGAGATCATTTGACTTCTTTTCTAATTTGTATACCTTTTATTTCTTTCTCCTTTCTGATAGTTCTGGCTAGCACTTCCAGTACTGTATTGAATAGGAATGAAGAAGGTGAACATCTTTGCTTTTTTCCAGTTTCTAGAAGCAACACTTCTAACTTTTGCCCATCCAGGATGATGTTGGCTGTGGCTTTGTCATAGATGACTCATTTTTTGAGGTATACTCCATCTATACCTATATTGTTGAGGGTTTTTATCATAAACAGATGTTGGATTTTATCAAATGCTTATTCTGCATCTAATGAGATGATCATAGGGTTTTTGTTCTCAGTTCCATTTATGTGGTGAATCATGTTTATTGATTTGTCTATTTTGAACCATTCAAGCACCCCTGGAATAAAGCCCACTTGATCATGATGAATTATCTTTTTGATGTGTTGTTAGCTTCAGTTTGCTAGAATTTTGTTGAGTATTTTTACATCTGTGTTGATCAGGGATAAGGATTTGTAGTTTTCTTTTGTGTTCTTTTTAAAATTTTCCTTGTTAATTTTACTGCACAGTATTATTTTAATGATGAATAAAGTGTTGAGCTGGACATGTGTACCTTGTTCCTCGTGTTAGAATGAAACTGTTTAATATGTCATGATTATTTATAATGTTGAGAGTAGTTTTTGTGTATATATTAAGATATTTACATCAGTTCTCTTCTATTCCTAGTTTGTTATTATTACAAATAGTTTCAAATGTGAACAAGTGCTTTTCCCACAGCTATTGAAATAACCATATTTTTTTCTTTTATTCAGTTAATGTGGTTAATTTCATTGTTTGGTTTTCTAATTTTAAACCATACATTCTTGAAATTACTGCACTTAGTCACGATGTATTTTTCTTTGGAGTATATTGTTGGATTATATTTGCAAACATTTTTGTTTAGAATTATTATGTAGTATATTAGTCTGTAATTTCATTTCTTTTAATATCCTTGTATGGTTTTACTATCATGGAGGTACCACCATATAAAACAAGTTGGAAAGTGTTATGTCTTCCCAATTCTCTAAAAATATTCATGTAACATTGGCATTATTTCTTTATTAAATATTTGGTAATATTTCTTTATTAAATATTGCATCCACCTAGCCCTGGAGTTCTTTCTACAGGAAAAAAAAATTTTCTAAATAAAATTTCTACAATGAAAAAAAAACTACTCAGTTTTTCTAGTTTTTTTCTGATCATTTCATAAAAGTAGGTATTTTTCATAGGAACTTGACCATTCCTTATGATTGTCAAATTTATTAATATCAAGTTTCATATTTTATATTTATTTTATCAGATAAATAAAATTATATGTTTTGAAATATATATTCATTGTAAAATAGCCATGTTAAGCTAACATATGCATTACCTTACATGCTTATCTTTTTTTATGAGAACACTTAAAAATCTACTCTTAGCAATTTTGAAGAATACAAGTACATCCCCTATGGAGAACAGTTTGAAGGCTCCTCAAAAAAGTAAAAATAGAGCTACCATGTGGTCCAGCAATCCCACTGCTGCATATATACCCCCCAAAAAAGAAATCAGTATATCGAAGAGATATCTGCACTCCCGTATTTGTTGCAGCACTATTTTCAATAGCGAAGTTATGGAGTCAACCTAAGTGTCCATCAACAGATGAATGAATAAAGAAAATGTGGTACTTATATACAATGAAGTATTATTCAGCCATAAAAAGGAATGAGACCCTGTCATTTGCAACAACATAGATGAAACTGGAGGTCATTATGTTAAGTGAAATAAGCCAGGCACAAAAAGACAAATACTATGTGTTATCACTTATATGTGGAATCCAAAAAGCAAACAACTGAACTCATGGAGATAGAGAGTAGAAGGAAGTATACCAGAGGCTGTGAAGGGTAGTGGGGGTTGGGAGAGGTGGGGGATGGCTAATGGGTACAAAAAAAGAAAGATTTAATAAGACCTAGTATTTGATAGCACAACAGGGGGATTGCAGTCTAAAATTCAATTATACATTTAAAAATAACTGAAAGAGTATAATTGGATTGTTTATAACACAAATAATAAATGCTTGAGGGGATGAATATCCAATTTTCCATTATGTACTTATTGTACATTGCATGCCTGTACCAAAATATTTCATGTACCCCATAAATGTGTACACCTGCTATGTACCCACAAAAATTAAATTTAAAAACAATACATTGTTATCCACTATAGTCACCATATTGCACAATAGATCTGTTGAATTCATTCCTCCTGTACAATGCAATTTTGTACCCTTTGACCAACATCTACCCAATCCTCCTGGTAACCATCATTCTACTCTGTACTTCTATGTGTTCAGCCTTCTTAGACCTCCACATACAAGTGAGATTATGCAGTATCTGGCTTTCTGTGCCTGGATTATTTTACTCAGTATAATGTCCTCCCGGTTCATTCATGTTGTCACAAATGATACTTTTTTTATTTTTTAAGGTTGTATACTATTCTATTGTGTATGTGTGCCACATTTTCTTCATCCACTCATGTGTCGATGGATACTTAAGTTAATTCCACATCTTGGCTGTTGTGAATAATGCTACAATAAATATGGGAGTACAGATAACTCATTGACACACTGATTTGATATCTTTTTAATATATGCCCAGAAATAGCATTACTGAATCATATGGTAATTCTATTTTTACAGAATCATTTATACTGTCTTTTACAATGGCTGAAATAGTTTACATTCTCAACAATTACAAGGTTTTCCTTTTCTCCACATCCTCTCCAACACTTGGTATCTTCTGCCTTTTCTGTAACAGCCATTCTAACGGATGTGAAATGGCATTTTATTGTAGTTTTAATATGCATTTCTCTGATGATCAGTGATAATTAGCATTTTTATATATCTGTTGGCCATTTGTATGTCTTCTTTTGAGAAATGTCTATTTAGATCCTTTGTCAATTTTTCATTAGGGTTCCTTGTTTTCTTATTATTGTGTTGTTTGAGTTCCTAAGATATTTTGGACATTAGCCTCTTATCAAATGTATAGTTTGCAGATAATTTCTCCCATTTTGTAGGTTATCACTTCACTCTGTTGACTTTCTTTTGCTGTGCAGAAGCTTTTTAGGTTGATGCTATTCCATTTGTGTTTTGTTGCTTTTCTTGCCTGTGCTTTAGAGTCATATCATAAAATATTATTGCCCAGACCAATGTCTTGGAGTTATTCCCCTGTTTTCTTCTAGGAGTTCTATAGTGCTAGGTCTTACATTTAAGTCTAACTTATTTTGAATTTATATTTTTATATGGTATGAAATAAGGGCCTAAGATCAATCTTGTGGACATTCAGTTTTCTCAACACCATTTTTTGAAGAGACTGTTCTTTCCCCATGTGTGTTCCTGGCACCTTTGTTGAAAGTCAATTGACTATAATATGTAGATTTATTTATGGGCTCTTTATTCTGTGTAATTGGTCTATGTGTCTGCGTTTATGCCAGTACCATGGTGTTTCGATTGCTATAGCTATGTAGTATAATTTGAAGTCAGGTAATGTGATATCTCCTGCCTTGCTTTTTTCGATCAAGATTATTTTGGCTTTTCAGAGTTTTTTGTGATTCCATACAGATTTGAGAGTTGTTTTTCTATTTCTGTGGGAAAATGTCATAGGAATTTTGATAGAGATTGCATTCAATATGTACATCACTTTGGATAGTATGGACATTTCAAACATATTACTTTTTCCAATCCATGAACATGAGATATCTTTCCATTTATTTGTGGCTTCTTCAATTGTTTTCATCAATGTTTTGTAGTTTTCAGTGTAAAGATCATTCACCTCTTTGTTTAAATTTACATCTAAGTATTTTTTGTTGCTATTATAAATAGGATTGTTTTCTTGATTTCTTTTTTTGTATAGTTTGTTGTTGATGTGTAGAAATGCTACCGAATTTTGTATGTTCACATTGTATCCTGCAACTTTACTAAATTCATTTATGAATTCTAAATTTTTTGGCAGAGTTATTGGTGTTTTCTATATATAAGATCATGTCAACTGCAAACAGAAACAATTTAACTTCTTCCTTTCCAATTTTCATGCCTTTTATTTCTTTCTTTTGCCTAATTGCTCTGGCTAGGACATCCAGTACTATGTTGAATAGAAGTTCTGAGAGTGGGCACCCTTGTATGAAGTTTTCCACAACATCTCTTATCTTTTTATTAGCTATATATTAATACGGATGTTTCTTCTTCATCAGGAGTTTGAAAAATATGTCTTTTCTCTATATTGTTCTTAATCAGTCTTCCTAGAAGTATTTCAATTTCAAAAAGTAGCAACAACTGTGGGAGTTCAGTCAGGCTGGTGGGAAAAATTTTAAAGATAGTTATAAGAAATCGACACAAACCTTCATGGAAGGCTGGGGGTGTTGTATAGCTTCAGTAATAGATCTGAATGAAGGCGGCCTAATCCTTCCTTGAGTAAATAGCTTAAAGTAGGTGCAAAGGAATGTAAGGGAGTTTATCTAAATAACTTGTTTACTCATGTGGTCCTGAAGCCAACCTTTGATCATTCACAGGCAGGATGGCTCTCTCTCGGGGGAGGGTGACCAGGTTAATTACCCTCTATTTGTGTTGACTAAAAGCCCCTGTCATTTAATGTTTTTTCAATAAATGCTGGCAGGGCTAGCTAGTCAGGGCTCGTGGCTGCCAGAACTCTTTCTGTGCATGGCCCAGCCCCCTAGCGGCTCTTTCACTGAATAATTGGTGTCTGAGTACATTATTCATCCCTCGTGCAGCTGGGGTCTGCAGGACAGACCCCCACAAACAACAATTTGCAAAAGCAAACTTCCCTGTTTTGTTTTTTTCCCAAGATGATAAATTAGAGGCTTTTAGTGTGCCTCGGCCACTTAGAAATAGCAAGAGAGTGCACAAAGGTCAACTCTGTGAGCTCTAAGTCAAGAAGGAAAATGGGAATCCACCAGAATCATGAAGGACATCATAGATCCCAAGAAGGAGAATGTGAGCAAACAGTCAACATGACAGCAACCAGCTTATAAAAGTGAGCGAAGTCCTAGTATGTGAGAGAGGCAGAGAGCCTCCCTCTGTAACTGACATTTTCACTGTGAATCTGAGCAACCCCAGCCAAGTTGTTGCATTTTGTTTCTCCCAAGGCCTGGAGTCAACATGGGGAGAGGCTTGGAGATGCTGTGAAGCAAAGACACTGGGAACAGCTGCAGACATTTTCCCAGACCAGGAAGTAAGAGCAAGATGCCATTTTCAATCTGGATGCATGAAAAGTCAGCTTTTTTTTTTCTTTTTGTGACCCAGCAGAATGCCTGCACAGGCATTTTAGTCTCAGGCCAAAGATTGGAACAACTGCTTTGGGGCTTGGTAGGGACCTTCACAGCCATATTGTGGAAAACACCTCAGCAGTATGTGCTGGAATTGTGCTTTCCCCCATCGCAGCCTCGGGGCAACAGAAAAGCTGCTACAGCTGTAATTTCTCCCAGGTGATGAAACTTGCAGCCAGGGCCAGCTTGGAGACCTACAACCAGTCTGCAGGTGTCATTGCTGGGTGCCCCAGCCTGTTCCCCTGAGAATGTGATACAGCAGGGCTTTCTCTGCTTCACCCCCAGGCAGAAATTCAGGCATTGGAGCACCTGTCTACCTGGACCAGCATCCTGAGCTACCCCACCGTTTGTAAACATAGGTTGTGGTGCAGTGGGGCCCTCTCCAGTCTATGGCCAGGCAGATTTCCAGGTATGTGGAGTACCCACTTGACTGGATCAGCAGCCTGAGCTTCCCCAACCTTCCTGTGCTGAGATTATAGTGCAGTGAGGCCCTCTCATCTCCACACATAGGCAGACCTCCAAGCAATTAGAGCACCTGCTCCTATGGAGAACTTAAATTTACAAGAAAAAAAAAAACCATCAAAAATTGGCCAAAGGACATGAACAGACAATTCTCAAAAGAAGACATGGATGTGGCCAACAAACATATGAAAAAAAGCTCAAATCACTGATCATTAGAGAAATGCAACTCAAAACCACAATGAGATACTATCTCAAACCAGTCTTAATGGTGATTATCAAAAACTCCAGAAACAACAGTTGCTGGTAAGGCTGTGGAGAAATAGGAATGTTTTTACACTGTTTGTGGGAACGTAAATTAGTTCATTCACTGTGGAAGGCAGTGTGAAAATTCCTCAAAGATCTAGAACCAGAAATGCCATTTGCCCCAGCAATCCCTTTACTGGATATATGCCCAAAGGAATATAAATCACTCTATTATAAAGATACATGCACAGGGCTGGGTGCAGTGGCTCACACCTGTAATCCCAGCACTTTGGGAGGCCAAGGCGGGTGGATCACCTGAGCACAGGAGTTTGAGACCAGCCTAGCCAACATGGGGAAACTCCATCTCTACTAAAAATACAAAAATTAGCCAGGTATAGTGGTGCACACCTGTAATACCAGCTACTTTGGAGGCTGAGGCAGGAGAATCGCTGGAACCCAGGAGGCAGAGGTCAAAGTGAGCCAAGATCATACCATTGCACTCCAGCCTGGGCAACAAGAGCAAAACTCCATCTCAAAAAAATATATATATATACATATACATACATATATATACACATATATATACATATATACAGATATTATATATGTAAATGTATATATATGTGTATATATATACACACATATATATACACATATATATACATATTATAACTACATATATATACACACACACATACATATACATGCACACATATGTTTATTGCAGCACTATTTACGATAGAAAATACATGGAATCAACCCAAATGCCCATCAATGATATATTGGATAAAGAAAATGTGATATATATTCACCATGGAATACTATGCAGCCGTTAAAATAAATGAGATCATGTTCTTTGCAGGGACATGGATGAAGCTGGAAGCCATCACCCTCAGCAAACTAACACAGGAACAGAAAACCAAACACCACATGTTCTCAGTCGTAAGAGGGAGTTGAACAATGAGAGCAAACACATGGATACATGGAGGGGAACAACACACACCAGGGCCTCTCAGGGGGACAGGGGGTAGGAGACCATCAGGACAAACACGTGGATACATGGAGGGGAACAACACACACCAGGGCCTCTCAGGGGGACAGGGGTAGGAGACCATCAGGACAAACACATGGATACATGGAGGGGAACACACACACCAGGGCCTCTCAGGGGGACAGGGGTAGGAGACCATCAGGACAAACACGTGGATACATGGAGGGGAACAACACACACCAGGGCCTCTCAGGGGGACAGGGGGTAGGAGACCATCAGGACAAACACGTGGATACATGGAGGGGAACAACACACACCAGGGCCTCTCAGGGGGACAGGGGGTAGGAGACCATCAGGACAAACACGTGGATACATGGAGGGGAACAACACACACCAGGGCCTCTCAGGGGGACAGGGGTAGGAGACCATCAGGACAAACACGTGGATACATGGAGGGGAACAACACACACCAGGGCCTCTCAGGGGGACAGGGGGTAGGAGACCATCAGGACAAACACGTGGATACATGGAGGGGAACAACACACACCAGGGCCTCTCAGGGGGACAGGGGGTAGGAGACCATCAGGACAAACACGTGAGTACATGGAGGGGAACAACACACACCAGGGCCTCTCAGGGGGACGGGGGGTAGGAGACCATCAGGACAAACACGTGGGTACATGGAGGGGAACAACACACACCAGGGCCTCTCAGGGGGACAGGGGTAGGAGACCATCAGGACAAACACGTGAGTACATGGAGGGGAACAACACACACCAGGGCCTCTCAGGGGGACGGGGGGTAGGAGACCATCAGGACAAACACGTGGGTACATGGAGGGGAACAACACACACCAGGGCCTCTCAGGGGGACGGGGGGTAGGAGACCATCAGGACAAACACGTGAGTACATGGAGGGGAACAACACACACCAGGGCCTCTCAGGGGGACGGGGGGTAGGAGACCATCAGGACAAACACGTGGGTACATGGAGGGGAACAACACACACCAGGGCCTCTCAGCGGGACAGGGGGTAGGAGACCATCAGGACAAACACGTGGATACATGGAGGGGAACAACACACACCAGGGCCTCTCAGCGGGACAGGGGGTAGGAGACCATCAGGACAAACACGTGGGTACATGGAGGGGAACAACACACACCAGGGCCTCTCAGGGGGACAGGGGGTAGGAGACCATCAGGACAAACACGTGGGTACATGGAGGGGAACAACACACACCAGGGCCTCTCAGGGGGACAGGGGTAGGAGACCATCAGGACAAACACGTGGGTACATGGAGGGCAACAACACACACCAGGGCCTCTCAGGGGGACAGGGGGTAGGAGACCATCAGTACAAACACGTGGATACATGGAGGGGAACAGCACACACCAGGGCCTCTCAGCGGGACAGGGGTAGGAGACCATCAGGACAAACACGTGGGTACATGGAGGGGAACAACACACACCAGGGCCTCTCAGGGGGACAGGGGGTAGGAGACCATCAGGACAAACACGTGGGTACATGGAGGGGAACAACACACACCAGGGCCTCTCAGGGGGACGGGGGGTAGGAGACCATCAGGACAAATAGCTAATGCATGCAGGGCCTCATACCTAGGTGATGGGTTGATGGGTGCAGCAAACCACCATGGCACACATTTACCTATGTATCAAACCTATACTTTCTGCACGTGTATCCCAGAACATAAAATAAAATTAAAAAAATATATACACTGATTCATGATCTCCTTTCTCTCCTTCTGAAACACTCTTTAAAACTTTTTAGCATTTCCCCCTCTGTCTTCCATGTCTCCTAACTACATGTTTCTTATTTTCCATGTCTTTATTCCTGTGTTCATTTTGGATAGCCCCTTCTGACCTATATTACAGTTTACTAGTTCACTCTTCAACTGCTTCTAACATACTAATATTCTGTTAAAACCATTCATTTGGGTTTAAATTTCAATTATGTTATTCTCTATGGACATTCTATTTGTTTTCTTTTAATCTTCTTGGCCATTCTCTAGAGTTTCCTGTTCCATTATGATATTTTTAATTTTTTGTTTTACTTTAAACATACTAAATATAGTTATTTTATTTTATTTTCTGTATCTGATACTTTCAATAACTGCAGTCTTTGCTAGTCTTTTTTCTGTGCTCTTGCTCATAGTTTTTTTCGTTTGTTTTCATGATTAGAAAGAGAGAGAAGAAGGAGAGTAAAGGGAGGAGGAGGAGGAGGAGAAAAGAAGAAAGCAGAGAAGAAGGGACAGAAAAAAAGGAAGTTGGTTCTAACGTTTCTCTAACAACTGGCTTCAGTGAAACACTCCCACCTTGTGGATTTTTAGGTTATTGAAATTAACCAGTCTTCTGGGTGCAGCACACCAACATGGCACATGTATACATATGTAACAAACCTGCACTTTGTGCACATGTACCCTAAAACTTAAAGTACAATAAAAAATAAAATAAAAAGCTACACAAATTTAAAAAAAAAGAAATCAACCTAATTCCTAGATTACCACCTCTTGATTCAAATGCTTTAAATCTAGGCTTTTCATCTGAGTCTTTCTTTTTAGTTATTCTGTTTATCTTCAAAACACTCCTGCTTTGAATCATTCAAAATCTACCTCCCTCCCTCTGTTTGACTACCATCAATTTTTTTGCTCATTCCTAATGCATTAATCTATTAGCTGTGAATATCCAAAAACCCTCATTTCACTGAATCTTTGACAGACCCCTTTGCATCCTCTTGTTCTTCTAATTATTTCCTCAGAAACTTTATGTTCTCTTTTCTTTACAAGCATGTCATAGTTTATATATAATGTGTGTATTGTTTTTATATATACCTATATATAGCCTCTTTTTAAAAGCACTATACACCATGCTTTGAAATATATTCTAAAATCAGGTAGCATGAAAATGGAAACATAACATACTAAAACATATGGGATGCAACAAAAGCAGTTATAAGAGGGACATTTATAGCAATAAATGCCTACATCAAAAAAGAAAAAAAAGATCTCAAATAAGCAACCTAATATTATGCCTAAAGGAGCGAGAAAATTAGAGAACAATACAAGCCCAAAGATAGCAGAAGGAAACAAATAACAAAGATCAGAGCAGAAATAATATAATAGAAACTGAAAATTTCAATAAAAATAAGAATTGTTTTTTGAAAAGATAAACAAAATTAACAAATTCTTACATAGACTAAGAAAAAAGAAAACAAACTCAGAAGTGAAAGAAGAGACATTACAACTGATACCACAGAAGTTAAAAAATCATAACATACTACTATAAACAATTATTCACCAGCAAATTAGATAACCTAGAAGAAATTGATAAACTCGTACCAAAACTGAATCATGAAGAATTCAAAATTTAGAAGAAATCATGAATAAGGAAATTAAATCACCAATGAAAGTTCTCTCATAAAAGAAAGACCCAGGATTGAATGGCTTGGTGGCTGAATTCCAACAAACACTTAGATGACTAACACCAATCCTTCCCAAACTCTTCCAAAAAAAATGAAGAAGAGGAATACTTCCAAATTCATTTTTCAAAACCAGCATTACCCTGATACCAAAACCAGAGAAGGACACTATAATAAAAATAAATGGCAGACCAATACTCCTGATGAACTTGGATGGAAAAACCTTCAGCCAAATATTAGCAAATATTATTTTTAAAAAAACACAGCAAAAAAATTCGCCATGCTTAAGTGGGATTCATCCCTGGGAAGCTTATTAGTCTTATTTGATTCGTGTAATCAGAAAATTTCTATGTCTAGTGAAGAGAAATGAGAGCAATAGAGACTCATAGCACCTCAACAAATGTCCAGGCTTGAGCCAGTTAACAAATACAAGTCCTTCAAATACAAAAAAGACTGTGAAAGAAAATAGAACAGATCAATGAAACTAAGAATTTGTTCTTTGAAAAGATAAAACTGACAAACCATTAGCTAGACTAGAAAAATGAGAGAATACTCAAAGCAATAAAATCAGAAATGAAAGAGGAAATATTGCAACTAATACCACAGAAATACAGAGGATCATAAGAGGCCACTATAAACAATTACAAGCCAACAAATTGGATAACCTAGAAAAAGCAGATAAATTTCTAGAAAAATGCAACTTACCTAGAGAAAGTCAAGAAGAAAGATAAAATCTGAACAGAACAATACTGAGTATGGAGAGTATATCAATAATAAAACATCTCCCATCAAAGAACATCCCAGGACCAGAAAACCTCATTGCTGAATTCTAACATTTTAAAAAATAATAATACAATCCTTCTGAAATTCTTCCAAAAACTTGAAGGAGAAAGAGTATTTCCAAACTCATTTTAAAAGATCAGCATTATTGTTTTTTTTTTAAAGTGATGTTCCCCTTCCTGTGTCCATGTGTTCTCATTGTCCAATTCCCACTATGAGTGAGAACATGCGGTGTTTGGTTTTTTGTCCTTGTGATTGTTTGCTGAGAATGATGGTTTCCAGCTTCATCCATGTCCCTACAAAGGACATGAACTCATCATTTTTTATGGCTGCGTAGTATTCCATGGTGTATATGTGCCACATTTTCTTAATCCAGTCTATCATTGTTGGACATTTGGATTGGTTCCAAGTCTTTGCTATTGTGAATAGTGCCACAGTAAACATACGTGTGCATGTGTCTTTATAGCAGCATGATTTATAATCCTTTGGGTATATACCCAGTAATGGGATGGCTGGGTCAAATGGTATTTCTAGTTCTAGATCCCTGCGGAATCGCCACACTGTCTTCCATAATGGTTGAACTAGTTTACAGTCCCACCAACAGTGTAAAAATGTTCCTATTTCTCCACATCCTCTCCAGCACCTGTTGTTTCCTGACTTTTTAATGATGGCCATTCTAACTGGTGTAAGATGGTATCTCATTGTGGTTTTGATTTGCATTTCTCTGATGGCCAGTGATAGTGAGCATTTTTTCATGTGTTTTTTGGCTGCATAAATGTCTTCTTTTGAGAAGTGTCTGTTCATATCCTTTGCCCACTTTTTGATGGGGTTGTTTGTTTTTTTCTTGTAAATTTGTTTGGGTTCATTGTAGATTCCGGATATTAGCACTGGGGCCTGTTGTGGGGTGGGGGGAGGGGGGAGGGATAGCATTAGGAGATATACCTAATGTTAAATGATGAGTTAATGGGTGCAGCACACCAGCATGGCACATGTATACATATGTAACTAACCTGTACGTTGTGCACATGTATCCTAAAACCTAAAGTATAATTTAAAAAATAAATAAATAAAAATAAAAATAAAAAGGCAAACAAGGACACTATAAGAAAAGTATGGGCCAACCAATATCCCTGATGAACACAGATACAAAAGTCCTCAAAAAAAAGTACTAGCAAACAGAATTTAACAACATATTAGGAGAACATTTACCATGATAAAGTGGATTTATCCTCCAGATGTTTCAGCAAACACAAATCAAATGTGATAAACCACATTAACAGAATGAAGGATAAAAAAATAGCTATCTCTATATATGCAGAAAAAGCATTTGACTAAATTCAAAATCCTCTCATGACTAAACCTCTCAACAAATTGGGCATAGAAGGCATGTACCTTAACACAAAACAGGACATATATAACAAGCTCACAGCTCACATCATACCCAACAATGAAAAAGTGAAATCTTTTCTGCTAAGATCAAAAACAAGACAAGGATATTTATTCTCACTACTTCTATTCAACTTATTTCTGGAAGTCCTAGCCAGAGCAATTAAGCCAAATAAAGAAATAAAAGATTCAAATTGAAAAGGAAGAAGTAAAATTGTCTCTGTTTGATGACATATTATATATAGGAAACCCTAAAAACTCCACCAAAAAGCTATTAGAAATGATAAATGAATTCAATAAAATTTCAGAATTCAAAATCAATGTACAAAACTCAGTAGTTTCTTTACACTCACAACAAACTATATGACAAAAATAAAGAAATCAATCTCATTCACAGTAGCATCAAAAAAAACGTATTTTTTTTGTTTAGGAGCACATTTAGGATTGTACTTAGGAGTACATTTAACCAAGGAGGTGAAAGATCTGTATTCTGAACACTATAAAACATTGATGAAAAATTGTAGATGACACAAATACATGGAAAGATATTTTATGTTCATGGGTAGGAAGAATTAATATTCTTAAAATGTCCTTACTGCCCAAAGCGATTTATAGGTTTAATGCAATATTTATCAAAATTTCAATGTCATTCTTCACAGAAATAGAAAAAACAATTTGAAAATTTATATGGAACCACAAAGGATCCTGAATAACTAAAGGACTCTTGAGCAATAAGAACAAAGCTGAAGGCCTCACAATCTGACTTCAAAACATATTACAGGAAAAGAACAAAAGAAGGAAGAAGAGGGTAGAGGAGAAGTGCAGCAAGGGTGGAGGGAGGTGCCCACGCTGGGTCGGAGGAGCAGGAGGAGTATGGAGGGAAGACTCCTGGGTGGCATGGAGCTCTTGCACCTCTAGGCACTGCCCAGCCCTGTGTCAGCCAGGGCTGAACCCCCACAGGATAAGGAAGCCTGTGTGTGTACCAACAATCAAAGCTACATCTGTGACACAACAGGACACTGCTATGGGCAGTCTCAGTGTTGTAACTACTACTATGAACATTGGTGGTTCTGGCTGGCATGGACCATCACCATCATCCTGAGCTGCTGCTGTGTCTGCCACCACAGCCAAGCCAGCCCTCAAGTCCAGCAGTAGCAACATGAAATCAACCTGACTGCCTATCCAGAAGCCCGCAATTACTCAGTGCTACCATTTTATTTCACCAAACTATTTATTACCTTCTTATGAGGAAGTGGTGAACTAACCTCCACCTGTTTCCCTCCCTGTCTGTCCATTGTGGATGAGCTCTGAGCCCTGTTTTCCTGTGAAGATTCTTTGAATTGCGGCCATTCTATTCACATGAACTCTCACATCTGGAGCACAGATGGCCCTCTCAAGGTAATTTATTGTATGCATTGACTGTTTACCAAACAAATGTCTTCCTATGT
Organism: Homo sapiens; assembly: GCF_000001405.40. Lineage (NCBI taxonomy): Eukaryota > Metazoa > Chordata > Mammalia > Primates > Hominidae > Homo > Homo sapiens. The sequence continues at coordinate 95,614 of NC_000006.12, forward strand.
ACTCAGGTATATTCAGCAGCATTGTCGACTGCAGTCCCCTATGCTTGCCAGAAGATACTGTATTCAAAGTAGAAGTTTCACAGTGATGAGTAATCACTGCAATTTTCCCATTGCTCCATGGACTCTCGGAGGCCGGTGTTCTGTTCCCTGTAAATAGAGATGTACTCTGAACCTTTCTGCCTCCCTCAGCTGTTCCTAGTCCTTGGTATCAGCCCCTGGAAATGTCCACAACCACTTAGGACAAAAGGCAAAAGTGGAATTTCAGACAAAACTTTGATAGGATCTTCAGTGATAAACTTGGACTAACTGTGGCCCAGGTATCAGCACTCCCAAGAATTGCCAGGAGGAAGCTTTGGCAGACACCACAGGTATGGCAAGGCCTATCTCCCTCTGCTGAATCCAACAGGGGCAAGCAAGCTGGCATGTGGCTTGAGGTGACCTGAATATGTCAGCACCCCTCAGATGTCTTTCTTTGCACTTTTGAAAAAAATCTCAGAATTTGCTGGCAACATGGCCAAATAGGAACAGCTCCAGTCTGCAGCTCCCAGTGAGATCAATGCAGAATGCAGGTGATTTCTGCATTTCCAACTGAGGTACCTGGTTCATCTCACTGGGACTGGTTGGACAGTGGGTGCAGCCCACGGAGGGTGAGCCAAAGCAGAATGGGGCGTTGCCTCACCCAGGAAGTGCAAGGGGTTGGGGGAATTCCCTCCCCTAGCCAAGGGAAGCCCCGAGGGACTGTACCATGAGGAACGGTGCACTCCACCCAGAAACTATGCTTTTCTCATGGTCTTCACAATCCACAGACCAGGAGATTCCCTCCAGTGCCTCTGCCACCAAGGCCCTAGGTTTCAAGCACAAAACTAGGCAGCTGTTTGGGCAGACACCGAGCTAGCTGCAGGAGGTTTTTTTTTTTTCATGCCACAGTGGCAACTGGAATGCCAACAAGACAGAACCATTCTCTCTCCTGGAAAGGGGGCTGAAGCCAGGGAGCCAAGTGGTCTGGCTCGGCGGGTCCCACCCCTACAGAGCCCAGCAAGCTAAGATCCACTGGCTTGAAATTCTTGCACAGCAGTCTGAGATTGACCTAGGACACTAGAGCTTGGTGGGGGGAGGGGCTTCCACATTGCCAAGGCTTGAGTAGGCAGTTTTACCCCCACTGTGTAAACAAAGCCACCAGAAAGTTTGAACTGGGTGGAGCCCACCACAACTCAGCAAGGCCACAGCAGCCAGACTGCCTCTCTAGATTTCTCCTCTCTGGGCAAGGCATCTCTGAAAAAAGGGCAGCAGCCCCAGTCAGAGACCTATAGATAAAACCCCCATCTCCCTGGAACAGAGCACCTAGGGGAAAGGGTGGCTGTGGGCACAGCTTCAGCAGACTTAAAGCATCTTTGAAAAGCCTGATGGCTCTGAAGAGAGCAGCAGATCTCCCAGCACAGTATTCGAGCTCTGATAAGGGTCAGACTGCCTCCTCAAGTGGGTCTCTGACCCCCGTGTATCCTGACTGGGAGACACCTCCCAGTAGGTGCCAACAGGCACCTCATACAGGAGAGCTCTGGCTGGCATCTGGTGGGTGCCCCTCTGGGACAAAACTTCCAGAGGAAGAAACAGGCAGCAATCTTGGCTGTTCTCCAGCCTCTGCTGGTGATACCCAGGCAAACAGGGTCTAGAGTAGACCTAGGGCAAACCCCAACAGACCTGCAGCAGAGGGGCCTGACTGTTAGAAGGAAAACTAACAAACAAAAAGGAATAGCATCAACATCAACAAAAAGGACAGCCACTCAGTGACCCCATCAGAAGGTCACCAACATCAGAAACCACAGGTAGATAAATCCATGAAGATGGAGAGAAACCAGAGCAAAAAGGCTGAAAATTCCAAAAACCAGAACGCCTCTTCTCCTCCAAAGGATCACAACTCCTCACCAGCAAGGGAACAAAAGAAAACTGGACAGAGAATGAGTTTGACGAATTGAGAGAAGTAGGTTTCAGAAGGTAGGTAATAACAAACTCCTCCAAGCTAAAGGAGCATGTCCTAACCCAATGTAAGGAAGCTAAGGACCTGGAAAAAAGGCTAGACCACTTGCTAACTAGAATAACTAGTTTAGAGAAGAACATAAATGACCTGATGGAGCTGAAAAACACGCCATGAGAACTTCATGCAGCATGCACAAGGATCAAGCACTGATTCGGTCAAGCGGAAGAAAGATATCAGAGACTGAATATCAACTTAATGAAATAAATCAAGAAGACAAGATTAGAGAAAAAAGAATGAAAAGAAATGAACAAAGCCTCCAAGAAATATGGGACTATGTGAAACGACCAAATCTACGTTTGATTGCTGTACCTGAAAGTGATGGGGAGAATGGAACCAAGTTAGAAAACACTCTTCGGAATATTATCCAGGAGAACTTCCCTAACCTAGCAAGGCAGGCCAATATTCAAATTCAGAAATATGGAGAACATTACAAAGACACTCCTCAAGAAAAGCAACCCCAAGACACATAGTCATCAGATTGAGCAAGGTTGAAATGAAGGAAAAAATGTTAAGGGCAGCCAGAGAGAAAGGTCAGGTTACCCACAAAGGGAAGCCCATCAGACTAACAGCAGATCTATCAGCAGAAACTCTACAAGCCAGAAGAGAATGGGGGCCAATATTCAACATTCTTAAAGAAAAGAATTTTCCACCCAGGATTTCATATCCAGCCAAACTAAGCTTCATAAGTGAAGGAGAAATAAAATCCTTTACAGACAAGCAAATGCTGAGAGATTTTGTCACCACCAGGCCTGCCTTAAAGGAGCTCCTGAAGGAAGCACTAAACATGGAAAGGAACAACTGGTATCAGCCACTGCAAAAACATACCAAATTGTAAAGACCATTGACACTATGAAGAAACTGCATTAACTAACAGCAAAATAACCAGCTAGCATCGTAATGACAGGATCAAATTCACACATAACAATATCAACCTTAAATGTAAATGGGCTAAATGCTCCAATTAAAAAACACAGACTGGCAAATTGGCTAAAGAGTCAAGACCCATCAGTGTTCTGTATTCAGGAGACCCATCTCACGTGCAAAGACACAAATAGGCTCAAAATAAAGGGATGGAGGAATACTTACCAAGCAAATGGAAGGCAAAAAAAAGCAGGGGTTGCAATCCTAGTCTCTGATAAAACAGACTTTAAACCAACAAAGATCAAAAGAGACAAATAAGGGCATTGCATAACGGTAAAAGGATCAATGCAACAAGAAGAGCTAATTATCCTAAATATATATGCACCCAATACAGGAGCACCCAGATGCATAAAGTAAGCTCTTAGAGACTTAAAAAGAGACTTAGACCCTCACACAATAATAGTGGGAGACTTTAACACCCCACTGTCAATACTAGACAGATCAACGAAACAGAAAGTTAACAAGGATATCCAGGACTTGAACTCAGCTCTGGACCAAGTGGATCCAATAGACAGCTACAGAACTCTCCACCCCAAATCAACAGAATATACATTCTTCTCAGCACCACATTGCACTTATTCTAAAATTGACCACATATTTGGAAGTAAAACACTCCTCAGCAAATGCAAAAAAAAAATGGGAATCATAACAGTCTCTCAGATCGCAGTGCAATTAAATTAGAACTCAGGATTAAGAAACTGACTCAAACCCACACAACTACATGTAAACTGAACAACCTGCTCCTGAACAACTACTGGGTAAATAAAGATATTAAGGCAGAAATAAATAAGTTATTTGAAACCAATGAGAACAAAGACATAACATACCAGAATCTCTGGTACACAATTATAGCAGTGTGTAGAGGGAAATTTATAGCACCAAATGCCCACAAGAGAAAGCAGGAAAGATCTAAAATTGACACCCTAACATCTCAATTAAAAGAACTCAAGAGGCAGGAGCATACAAAAAGCTAGCAGAGGACAATAAATAACTAAGATCAGAGCAGAACTGAAGGAGATAGAGACACAAAAAAACCTTCAAAAAAAAATCAATGAATCCAGGAGCTGGTTTTTTGAAAATATCAAAAAAATAGATAGACCACTAGCCAGAATCATAAAGAAGAAAACAGAGAAGAATCAAACAGATGCAATAAAAAATGATAAAGGAGATACCACCACTGATCCCACAGAAATACAAACTACTATCAGAGAATACTATAAACACCTCTACACAAACTAGAAAATCTAGAAGAAATGGACAAATTCCTGGACACATACGCCCTCCCAAGACTAAACCAGGAAGAAGTTGAATCCCTGAATAGACCAATAACAAGGTCTGAAATTGTGGCAGTAATTAATAGCCTACCAACCAAAAAACAGTCCAGGACCAGATGGATTCACAGCCGAATTCTACCAGAGGTACAAAGAGGAGTTGGTACCATTCCTTCTGAAACTATTCCAAACAACAGAAAAAGAGAGAATCCTCCCTAACTCATTTTATGAGGCCAGAATAATTCTGGTACCAAAATTTGGCAGAGACACACACACAAAAAAAGAAAATTTCAAGCCAATATCCCTGATGAACATCGATGCAAAAATCCTCAATAAAATACTGGCAAACCAAATCCAGCAGCACATCAAAAGCTTGTCCACCACAATCAAGTCGGCTTCATCCCTGGGATACAAGGCTAGTTCAACATACGCAAATCAATAAACATAATTCATCATATAAATAGAACCAATGGCAAAAACCACATGCTTCTCTCAATAGATGCAGAAAAGGCCTTCGACAAAATTCAGCAGCCCTTCATGCTAAAAACCCTCAATAAACTAGGTACTGATGGAACATATCTCAAAATAATAATACCTATTTATGAAAAACCCACAGCCAATACTGAATGGTGAAAAACTGGAAGCATTCCCTTTGAAAACCAGCACAAGACAAGGATGCCCTATCTCACCACTCCTATTCAACGTAGTATTGGAAGTTCTGGCCAGGGCAATCAGGCAAGAGAAAGAAATTGTCTCTGTTTGCAGATGACATGATTGTGTATTTAGAAAACCCCATGGTCTCAGCCCAAAATCTTCTTAAGCTAATAAGCAACTTCAGAAAAGTCTCAGGATACAAAATCAATGTGCAAAAATCAAGCATTCCTATATGCAAAAAACAGACAAACAGAGAGCCAAAACATGAGTGAACTCTCCCATTCACAATTGCTGCTATGAGAATAAAATACCTAGGAATCCAACTTACAAGGGATGTGAAGGACCTCTTCAAGGAGAACTACAAACCACTGCTCAAGGAAATAAGAGAGGACACAAACAAATGGAAAAACATTCCATGCTCATGGATAGGAAGAATCAATATCATGAAAATGGACATACTGCCCAAAGTTTTTATAGACTCAATGCTATCCCCATCAAGCTACCACTGACTTTGTTCACAGAATTGGAAAAAACTACTTTAAATTTCATATGGAACCGAAAATGAGCCCGCAGAGCTAGGACAGTCCTAAGCAAGTAGAACAAATCTGGAGGCATCACGCTGTCTGACTTCGAACTATACTACAAGCCTTCAGTAACCAAAACAGCATGGTACTGGTACCAAAACAGATATGTAGACCAATGGAACAGAACAGAGGCCTCAGAAATAACACCACACATCTACAACTATCTGATCTTTGACAAACCTGACAAAAACAAGCAATGGGGAAACGATTCCCTTTTTAATAAATGGTGTTGGGAAAACTGGCTAGCCATATGCAGAAAACTGAAACTGGATCCCTTCCTTACACCTTACACAAAAATTAGCTCACGATGTATTAAAGACTTAAACATAAGATCTAAAACCATAAAAAACCCTAGAAGAAAACCTAGGCAATACCATTCAGTACATAGGCATGGACAAAAACTTCATGACTAAAACACCAAAAGCAATTGCAACAAAAACCAAAATAGACAAATGGGATCTAATTAAACTAAAGAGCTCCTGCACAGCAAAAGAAACTATCATCAGAGTGAACAGGCAACCTACAGAATGGGTGAAAATTTTTGCAATCTATCCATCTGACAAAGGGCTAATATCCAGAATCTACAAAGAACTTAAACAATTTACAAGAAAATAACAAACAAACCCATCAGTGGGTGAAGGATATGAACTGACATTTCTCTAAAGAAGACATTTATGCAGCCAACAAACATATGAAAAAAAGCTCATCATCACTGGTCATCAGAGAAATGCATATCAATACCACAATGAGATACCATCTCACGCCAGATAGAATGGCGATCATTAAAAAGTCAGGAAACAACAGATGCTGGAAAGGATGTGGAGAAATAAGAATGCTTTTACACTGTTGGTGGGAGTGTAAATTAGTTCAACCATTGTGGAAGACAGTGTGGTGATTCCTCAAGGTTCTAGAACTAGAAATATGATTTGACCCAGCAATCGCATTACTGGGTATATATCCAAAGGATTATAAATCATTCTACCATAAAGACACATGCATACATATGTTTATTGTGGCACTGTTCACAATAGCAAAGACCTGGAACCAACCAAAATGCCCATTCAATGATAGACTGCATAAAGAAAATGTGGCACATATACACCATGGAATACTATGCAGCCATAAAGAAGGATGAGTTCATATCCTTTTCAGGGACATGGATGAAGCTGGAAACCATCATTCTCAGCAAACTAATCCAAGAACAGAAAACCAAACACCCGATGTTCTCACTCATAAATGGGAGTTGAACAATGAGAACACATGGACAGAGGGAGGGGAACACAACACACCGGGGCCTGTCTGGGGGTAGGGGCTGGGGGAAGGTTAGCATTGGGTTAAATACCTGATGTAGATGATGGGTTGATGGGTGCAGCAAACCACCATGGCACGTGTATACCTATGTAACAATCCTTCATGTTCTGCACATGTACCCCAGAACTTAAAATATAATTTAAAAAAAAATCTCAAACAACTCACTGAAGTGTCTCAAAGCTGAACAAGTTTTACCGAAATGAATCCTTCTCAGTTAACTGATCAAATGGATGAATCCTGACCCTCTGAAGTCTCTTTCCTGAGTTAGAGCAGGGAACTGCTCTGAGTGTTAACTGTTGGATTCACTGCAGTGTCCTACAATATTTTACAAGAAGATGAAAAGGCAACCTGCAGACCTAGGCTTGATTCCCAAGTCACAGTCTGACCCCTGCTACAGGAGGTTACCCTCCTCAGGAAGAGATAGAAATAGGGAATTTGAAGGAATAGTGAGGGGACCAGGGAGATTTGATTGAGTCTGGTTTCCAGGTGAATTAAAAGGAAGGATGTCATCCAGGGTTTGTTGCTACAGTCAAAAGAATAAATAAATCAATGAAGAAATACCTTCATTGTCTGTGGTTTTCATGCAGATATACTCATGGAGGTTGTATCTCTCCAAAAACAGACAAATCCAAGGCTGTGAACAAGCATCCGCATTTGAATTCCATTAAACCAAAATCTATGTTGAACGAAGTGAAGTCTGTACACAGCATTGCAAATGTGAACACATTCCTGTGTGAGGCACATCACCATTTGTCAGTTATTGTGAATATGTGTATTTTTAAGCAATAAGATGCAGCTGGTCAGTTTTCTGGGCAATCTTGGCGATGCATTTCCTGTGCTGTGGTTGTTCTCTAACCACTGTGAGAAACCCAAATAAAAATTGATCCCCCCCCAAAACAAATACGTATCACAAAACCATAGTAATCAAAACAACATGACACTTGCACAAAAACAGACACATTGACCAGGGGAACAGAATAAGGAACCCAGAAATAAACTCATGCATTTATGACCAATAAATTTTTGACAAAGGTGCCCAGAAAACGTAATGAAGAATAGACATTTGTTTCAATAAATGGTGTTAAGAAAACTAGATATCCACATGCAGAAGAACATGAATGTGTATGGTGTGTATCCTTATCTCACACCATACACAAAAATCAATTCAAAATGGATTAAAGGTTTAAACATAAAACTGTAAAACTACTAGATGAAAACATAGGGGAAAAGTTCCACAATGTTGGTTTGGTCAAAGATTTCTTGGATATAACCCCCAAAGCACAGGCAACAAAAGCAAAAATATATGGGATTGCATCAAACTAAAAAGCTTCTGCACAGCAAAGGAAACAATATGGTGAAGAGACAACCTACAAGTTGTGAGAAAATATTTGCAGAGCGTACATCTGATGAAAGGCTAATCTCCAAATATATAAGGGACTCAACTCAATATCAAGAAAACAAATAACCAAGTCAAAAAATGGGCAAGGTCCTAAATAGACATTTCTCAAAAAAAATACAAATGACTAACATAAAAAAAGTTTGTCATCCTAATTATCAGGGAAATGCAAATTAAAATGACAGTGAGATGCCACTTCATACCTGTTAGAATGGCTACTATCAAAATGATAAAAGATAACAAGTGTTGAAGAGGATACAGAGAAAAGGGAACCCTCGTACACTGTTGGTGGAAATGTAAATTAATACTATTATGAAAAATAGATAAAAGTTACTCAAAAAACTAAAACTAGAATTACTATATGATCCAGCAATCCCACTTCCTTGTATATATCCAAAGGAATTTAAGTCAATATGCTGAAGAGATATCTCCAGGCTCATGTTCATTGCAGCATTATTCACAATACCCAAATATGAAATCAACACAGGTGTCTATCAACTGACAAATGGATGAAGAAAATGTAGTGTATATATACAATGGAATACTACTCAGCCTTAATAGGAAGGAAAACCTGATATATGTGACAACATGAATTAACCCAGAAGATATCACGCTAAGTGAAATAAGCCAGGCACGAAAAGACAAATATCACATGATCTCACTGATATGTGGAATCTGAAAAAGTTGAATTCATAGAAGTAGAGAATGGAATGGTGATTATCAGAGGCTAGGAGTTGGGGGTAGACATGGAAAAGGTAGATGTTGATAAAAGGGTTCAAAGTTTCAGTTAGACAAAGTTTCAGTGAACTATTGCACGGAATGGTGACTGTAATAAATAACAAGGTATTGTATGTTTCAAAATGACTAACAGAGTAGATTTTAAATGTTTTCACCACAAAAAAGATATGTATGTCAATAAGATAGACCTAATCTTTCCACAATTTAAACATGTATCAAAACATTACATTGTACCCCATAGATACAATTATTATTTGTCAATTTAAAATTTTTCACTAATTTATATTGTTATTGTTGCACCAACTCCTTTCCACCAGGCAGATTCTCATAAAGACTATTTTCTCTCTTACATGAAGCATTTCCTACACACCTCTTAATCACGGTAGCATTGACATCATTCCACCAGATTCTATCTCCAGTGTTAAAATAATCAAGAACCCAGAAATCTCCACCAGGGGGCAACCAATGCGTATCAAAGTTTCCCACTTTCCTTTAGATTTACTTATGGGTAACTTAAGGGAAAAAATACTTAAGTACTTCCCTTTTTAAAGAAAAAAATTATATGAATTCTACAAAATTATGGCAGAAAATTTAAGAAGAGCAGATGCTTCCCAACTCATTCTAAAGGGCCAGCATTACCCTGATTCTGAAATGAAAAAGCTTTACAAAATCCAAGATCCATTCCTGACTAAAGATAAAAGAAATTTTCAGCAAACTGTGAATACAGAAAACTTTCTCAGCCTGTTAAAGAGTACCTATGAAAAAAATTATAGCTAACATTATACTTAATGATGAAATATTTAATATATTTCATAACAGGAACAAGTCAAAGATGTCTGCTCTAACTAATTCTACTCAGCATTCAACAAAATGAATATAGTGAATTCATACTAGAATTTTAAAAGCAAATGTCTTTATTCACTGACAACATAATCATCTATAAAGAAAATCCTACATAACCTATAAAAAACTGATGGAACTAATAAGTTTTGCAAGTTTACAGGATATAATGTCAAACAAAGATCTATTATGTGCCCATAAGCTAAGAATAAACAATTGTAAATTGAAATAAAAATGTCACTTAAAAGGGCATCAGAAATATAAAACTTAGAGATAAATATAAAGTACATATGCATAAAGTACCTGTTCACCAAAAACTACAAAACATTGCTGAAAGAAATTAAATGGGCATAATATAGATGTAGAGATGTGTTGAATTTATGACTCATTTTGAACAAGGAATATATTCATCATATATTCATCAGATAAGAATTATGTTACAGGTCTAATAACATTCAAATCAATACATAATGTCTCATAGTTCCTGAATCTAAAATATCAAAGAAAGAAACATAAAGCCATATCATGTTTAACAAGAAGGGCTTATTGTATCATTTATGAGATCTTCTTGTAAATCACTAGCTGTTTGCATACTCTCTTTATTGCTGCCTTCATCTCCTTATTCCTGAATGTATAGACAACTGGATTCAGAAAAGGAGTGAGAACTGCATCAAAAATAGCCAGAAACTTGTCCATCTGTGAATTAGGGTGTGGCCATGTATACACAAACATGGGTGGACCAAAGAACAAAAGGACCGCTGTGCTGTGAGCTGAAAGAGTGGAAAGGGCCTTGGATGAACCACCTGAGGAATGTTTCCAAACAGTAAACAGGATGAAGATGTAGGAGATTACAAGTATGAAGAAAGTACCCACACAGATAAACCCACTGTTAACAGTGACCATGAACTGCAATCTGTAGGTGTCGGTACAGGCTAGTCTGAGAAGCCGAGGAAGGTCACAGTAGAAGCTGTCCAACACATTAGGGCCACAGAAGGGTAAATTAACAAGAAATGCCAGTTGGAACAGGGAGTGACTGACACCAAGGGTCCAGGCAACAGCCAGAAATGAAAGGCACATTCTTGGGCTCATAATGGTCAGATAGTGGAGGGGCTTAATAGGGCCACATAACTGTCAAAGGCCATGGCTATGAGCAGCACCATCTCCACACCACCAATGACGTGGATGAAGAAGATTTGAGCGATGCAGCCTCCAAAGGAGATGACTTTGCGCTTTCTGAACAGGTCATAAATCATCTTGGGAGAAGTGACAGAGCAGGCTCCTAAGTCAATGAAGGAGAGACTGGCCAGTAGAAAGTACATGGGGGAGTGTAAGTGAGGGTCAGTGGTCACAGAAAATACAATGAGGATGTTTCCAGTAATGCTTGCCACATAGAGCACAGAGGAAAACACTAGGAGGAGGAGCTGGATCTCCCATGAATGAGTGAGTCCCAGAAACAAAAACTCAGATACCACTGAGTGATTCTCTCCATCCATTGGTCCAGCCAACTGGGCTGTGGCTAAAATTATGAGAACTAAGAAAATGGGGAGGAAATTGTGATTATGAAGATAATAATATGTACTAAAATCAATATTGCAATGTCACTATGAATAAATAGTATACAGTTATTCTGTTCCTCACATATTAAAAACAAAAAATCAACATAATATTATCACAACATGTGAGCTGCAACCTGATTTAAACCCATCATCAATACTTTCAGTGTAATGTCTGATCTAAAATTAACAGATTAGGTAAGAACAAGATTCCTGACTATCCATGAAATTCATCAGGTGTTTAAATGACCTGTGATATTAACTATTCCTCATTTCCAACATATTCCATTTGTACTTATACATATTCTTATAATTTCCTTCCCTTCCCAGTTTGCAGCCACAATTCTCTGACAGAAAGTAGACATAAGAGGAAAACATGATTAACAGATGGATTATCACCTGCAGTAAGAGGTGCCTGGGACGGACTTAGTTGAGGTAGGCTGTGGATTGAGACAGAATATAGAGACTGGGGTATGTGAAATCGGAAAGCCCACAACTGTAGCAGAACAGAGTAAGTGGACTTTCACAAGAAATAGAATCACCACCATTATCTACCACATTTTCTCATGCTCACTGCTATTTAAGTGCCTCAGTTTCTATACAATCTTTCACAATTACGAAGCCCTAAATGGCTTCCCATCCTGCAGTGATTTCATAAGGAGCCTATGCCACCTGTCATGTAAGGCTTTTTCCATGCCTAATAAATATGTTTTGGAGGGATTTCACCAGAGTTTTTGCTAAGATGCATAAAATGGCCACAGAGGTTGTGAGAAATCTCTGCAGTTTCTCTTTGTCTATACACATGAAAGTATAGAAGACCAGCACTTGGATTAGTTAAGATAATGTTTTAATTCATCACTGTCTCCTCCTCCCCTTGGTACCAGCTTTTATGTTCATTGCATTCCCCATCCTTTTAAGTACTCAGTACCTCCTGCATGGTAACCTATTCTGATATTTGATATTATCATGCTTAATTTGACTGAATCCATTTGGATATTTTATCTTTAAGAAATTTGTAGTTTTATACTTTTAATTTATGATAAAATTAGATTAATATCAAACATTAACAAGTGACTTTTAGGAAGGTATATGAGCTTTCTTATTGACTTCAAACTATAAAGTACAAACTGTGACACTAGAAATTTAGTCCTTTAACACATGTTGTATTTATATGTGAAGTGGAGGGTGAGCAGAAAACAGTGTTATATTTCTCTGTGTCCAGATGGATACTCACCTCAATGATTTTCCTATAGTAGAAAGTAGTTCCTGAAAACACTTAATAGAGATTATTTTAGAAGTTGCTGAGGTACAAATAAAACTGCTATGCTGACATCATACTTTTTTGCACCAACAACTCCAGTTCTTCTGACACAAAGGACCATCTTCCTAGTGCCATAATTTATCTTAGACCCCAAAACTCACAGAGGCACACATCATATCTCTAATACTTGCTCACCACCACTGGCATGAGTCTCTCTCTATCCTCTTCTACGTGAAGTGATTATACTGTCACCTCTGGAGCTAACTGTCCACAGTCTCAAGATGCACACTTTTTACAACCAGAAGCCTATGGACTGGGTGAGGGAGCAGAAACAGCCACAGGTACTGCCCATCAGGGTAATGTAAGTCAGCATGCAAACAACTGATCAGATGAACATGAATAGCAAGGTGCTGAGGCACTGGGAAGAGGGACCGGAAAACTCTATAATTGTTGAAAAAGACTCAAGCCCTTGGGAAGGGAAATGCCTACGAAATTATATAAAGGCCATTTTATCCAAGTTGGTCATCATTCAGATGAAAACCATGAGGCCCAGAAAAGTAAACTGAGTTTCCAGAATTCACACAATTGATAGAATAGGAACCAGAATTCAGGCCTCTTGCTTCCTATTCCAGAAAGACAAATTGCAATAATAATCAAATAATATGAGCAATCATCCAGTAAAAATAATCTAGTAAAAACAGCAAAACTCAAAAGAGTGATTTTTCCTGGTTAAGACCAAAACTAACCATAGATTGCTATACATAGTATCTATTATAAATACTGAATTATATAGCAGCCTGACAATAAATACATAAAATGTGTACACAAAGATTATTGAACCTGTACAATACAGTAGTAAATAGTAACTTTATATTTGCAAAGTGACTGATCATTACTATCAGAATTTGTACCCATTCTTCATATTTTGTTGGTCATATAACCAGTTACTACAACTGCAAAAACAACCTAAGGTCATGTTTCTGTGAAGTCCATCCTTTTGGTCTTTAAATTTTATTATCCTCAAAGGTCAATTATGATCTCAATCTTTTCTTGTAATTTTACTGACAATTCTCCTTCACACTGATTTGTTCTTTCTCTAATTCCTGTAAATAGAAAGAACCAAAAAAAGTTGAAAAAACATGTATTGTACATATAACAAACAATCATATGTGGTATACAATATATATCAAATGAGTATTAAGATAAACATTCAAAGAGTTTTAAAGAAAAAAGTGTTATAGATATTGGAGGGCAGAAGAGACGATTGCCATTAAGAACAGGTGGAGGAGGTTATGCCAAGGACATTGACCTGACCCTTTAGGAATTAGTGAAAATTGAATAGGAGAAGAATGAGGTATACAATGTGTGAAAAATACCTAAATTGATATAACAGGAGGAGACCTTTTCATATCAATTATCATTACTTCTGTGTATATAACCATATTAGATACCCACAAACGAATAGAAAGTGGATAGTTCTTGATTGACAAGTAAGACTAATAATCCCAGATCATAGTAAGGTCTTAACTTCAAGTCAATAATCTTTATTACTTATGGTTCATTCCTCTCCCTTATGTTTTCCAATAATTTTAAAATGCATAATTAAAACAATTCTCATTTAAAAACATAGTAGCCATGACTAATGATCTTCCAGTGGGAAGGTACTAAGACTTTACAACATGTTTCTTGCTGGGGATAAGACAGCCTACAGCCAGCATTCAACTCATTTTTCTAAAGTCTATGGATCAATTTGAAATACAGAAAAAGTAGAACAGAGATAAAGTTAAAACAAGATTAAAAATATGGGAAGAATGGGAGAAAGGGGAGATTAGAAGATATGAACAATGATTTAAAAATAAAAGAGCCTCAAAGGAGAAGAGAAACTGCTAAGCAAGACTAAGGTAGGATGAAATACAGTAGTCTCTGTTTCTGAGAACACAGGTTAAAAAGAACATAAATAAAATAAATTTATCACCTTTAATACACTCATTCAAGGATGCTACTGAGTTTGACTTTGGGAATTTCTCACCTTTAATACACTCATCTGGGGATGCTACGGACTTTGACATTGGGTTGCATTTAAAGGGGGAGAGAAAGGGCAGTTGCTTCTATTATCTGCCCTTTTGGACTCACAGAGTTTCTTTGAAAAGCACAGATGATAATAAATGGAAATATTGCCTTTTATACTATACAATAATATACACATGCAATTCACTGGAAAAAGTATACTTGTTACTATGATTTGAGGATACTACCATATACTAATCAAGAGAAACACATGTACAGAACAAAGAAGGCACATGAAATTTTTACTAGTGTGTGTTTTCCTTGTGTTCTACCACCCCAGGAGCAGCTTCTGCTACTGAAGATCACAGTAGAGTTATTTCCAAAAGTTGTGGGTCTGCAGGGTGGACTTATCACATAGCTGTTTGCCAAAATTCAAAAGTCCAGAAACCATTTCCAAATTTTCACCTCTTTTATCTTCAAATCCTAAAACTATGAAAATTCACAAACTTAGCTCCATATATTATGGTAGAAAGGTTAATAATTTGGACTTTGAGGTTGACCAGGCCTGATTTTTGAATAAATTCACAAACTTACCTCCATACATTATGGTAGAAAGGTCAATAATCTGGACTTTGAGGTCGACCAGGCCTGATTTTTGGATCCAGGCTGCAACACTCACTTGCTGTGTTAACGTAACAAAGTTCCTAGACCATGCTGAGCTTCAGTTTACTTGTTATTGAATTAGGGATATAGCGTTCGAAGGAAGAAGTTCTAGTATTTGATTGCACAGCAGAGAAATTATAGTTATTGAACTGGGGATATGTAGATAGACATAATAAATTTTAGTATTCAATTATACAATGGAGAAATCATAGGGAACAATAATTTATTATATATTCTAAAATAGCTAGCAGAGAAAAATTATAATGTTCCCAACACAAAGAAAAGATAAATATTCGAGGTGATGAATATCCAAATTACTCTGATTTGATCATTACACATTGTATACATGTATCAAAAATATCACATGTACCCCAAAACATGTACAACTATGATACATCAATAAAAAACAACAAAAAAACCAAAAGAATAGAAATCAAAAATAAATACATAAATACATAAAATAGGGATAATAATACCTCCCTTGCTTGCTTGCTCCCTTGCTCCATTTGTAAGAAATAAGTGATATAATATAGGTAAAAATACTTAACCTCATACCTACCACATAGTATAGCACAATAAACGTTATTTATTATAATCTGAGGCCTACCTACATAAGTGACTTTCAAGTATAGAAAATTATTTCTCAAATTTTAAATACTCCCTGATTCTCAGGTATGGTAATTAGACCTGGCTTTAGGTAAAGCTCTCATGTCTACACTTGGATTTAATCACTTAAGTATATTTCCCAGCGCCCCCCCCAAAAAAAATTGCTCCTAGGTGGACACACTAATCAAAGACTTCCTGAGAAATGCAGGAAGAAGTTTTGTCCTCTGACCACGCTACGCCCTTTCCTTGATGGTAAGCCCCATAATCTAAAGCCATAAGTTTCAATTCCTCACATAAAAAGAAAAAAAATGTCTTTTATGACCACTTCAGATAACACTGGATATTTCCCTTGTCATTAGGAATGAGAAATGGGAGGAAGGTAAACTTGTAGACAGGAGAATTGGTAGATGCTTGAAAGGATTTCTGAAAACTGTGCCTATCCAGGTGTACAAATGTGTTGACCAGCCAAGGCAAAGCAGTCAAACCATACAATACCTTATCCTCAGGAAAATGGACTTTTCTCCCAAATTGCCTTTTTCATGAAAAATATAAAATTCTCCAGTTTCAACCTCATGTTAAATTTCACATGTGAAGAAAACAGTCATGCACATCAGAAAATTAAATGGCGAGTCAAGACCAAATTCCTAGTCACAGTTATGTTCTGTTTCCAGTATTACCTTCTCACTTATTCATTTTGTTAAAGTGGAGCCAAAATAGAAGTGGGTGTCACACATCAAGAAAGACTGAAGTCGTACAAAGCCGATCCTTATCCAACGTGCATTAAAATATGCATCAGGCATGTGTGATGCATATAGTAGAAGTGGAACAAATCAGGCCAGGTGCAGTGGCTCACGCCTGTCAGCCCAGCACTTTGGGAGGCCAAAGCAAGCAAATCGCTTGAGATCAGCAGTTCAAGAAGTGTAACAAATCCTCTACAATATAAGTAGAGTGAAAAGAGATAGCTACAGTGATGAGGGAAGGCACTATAGTGATGTGGCATTTGAGTATAGCCATAAAAGAGGATAAATATTACAATACATGAATATAGGGTCTAAAGAAGTCTTTTCAAGTAGATTGTAAAATATTTCAAAAATGGTAAGTTTGGTGTATGTTGAAGCATACAGATTGTCTACATCCTAAAAATCATTTTGGTGAATAAAGGAAAATAAGAAAGGTAGTCAATATTCATTTGTTGCCTATCATTAGAAACTTCTCAAAGGTATATGAGAATTATTAAATAAATTTAGGAAGCCAGTGAAGGTATGGGTCCTGGGAATTGAGGATGAAGCCAGTAATTAGGGAAGATGCCCCATCTATAAGTGTGATGTATCAAATGGAGGAAAAGAAAAACGGAGGGAAGGAGTTCCCTTAAGAGAAGATTGAAATAGAGCAGACTTGGGGGGCTACACAGAGGAACTGGGACTACACAGTTCCAGCTTTAAGGCTATAGAAACAGAAATAGAAATACTGGTAAGTAAAAACCCAAAGGATTGGTGACTTATCACAGCTGGAGTGAATACGAAGGAGCATGAACTCAAAGAAAATATCAAGATTTAAGCAAGAATAAATAGGACAATGGTAGGTCCATTTTTAGAAATTAGAAAGTTGAACATAAAATATGTCAGGGTGGAGAAAATAATCACTTGTATTTTAAGCAAATAAGAGTATTAGATATTGAGATGCTCAGGTGAAAACATATGACAGGATATATGGGGGAAAAGTACAAATTCAACATGTAATTGTATAGTAATCCATATAAAAATAATAGACGGATGTGTAAGAGTGCATAAGGTCCCTGAAGGAAATAATACACAGGAAAAAAAGATTAAAAAGCAAAGACCCAACTATAGAAACTATCCACATTGATTATGTAAAGTAGGAAAAGGAATCAATAAACTAGACAGAACATCACAGAGGTAGGAGGACAAGTGCTGGCCTCAAGGAGCCAACACAGAAGCAGGTATCAAGAATAAAGGAGGAGAAGAGAGAACAAAGAGAGAGAGAAGAGAACTTCTGTGGCAGAAGATCAAGTGGGATGGTAGAATAAAGGAGAAGAAATACAAGAAAATTGAAATAAAATTTACAGAAATGTTCTACATTGTAAGTGGGCAGTTTTGACCTGGCACATTGTTGGCACACATTATAAATGTCAAATGTATTAATGAATGAATGAATGGATAATATAATGAATGTGATGGAGTTGTCAAAAGCTGAATTAATTAAAAGTCCCCACGAGAGGTTAGATGACAAAATTTTCAGAAACTTTCCATGCCACTCTGTTGTGACATCAACAGTGCTGGACCCTTGAAATCAAACCAAAAGGATTCCACCATGAGAATGAAAAGGGCTGAGAAGGGGAATGCTGGGTGACACAGAAGGTGACAAAGGGCGAAAGGTTTCTAGACATTTGATAGACTGATGGACGTCCGAGCTGACCATAAGGCACAGGCCACACAGGAAGGAAAATGAGACCCAACGCGAAGAAAAGTAGGGCTAAACAGTCGGGAAAATGTGGGAAGAAGGATGAATAGTCATACGATCAACTCAGATTCCTCCCTGACATTCTTCTACAGCTTTATTCTCGTCCTTTGGGAGCCGAGATGTTCATTTTCCTACATTCTTAGCTGCCTACACACGGCGACTTTTCTCCACGGTGCCTGATCCCTGCTGCATCCTCCTTCTCTAGTGGCAACAGCAAATGGCCACACAGAAGGCAGACATTGCACCCAACTGAGGAGAATGTAATTCACTCATTGCCAGTCACAGACCTTGGCTCACCGATTTACTAAGTATAGATTTTATTTCTATCCCTCACCTACCTGTTTTGCCAAGGGAACTAAGAAAAGAGCATCATCAAAAATTCAGATAGGTATAGTTCTCACAAGATGAACCAGATCCAGTACGGCATCACTGCAGACATACACACAGAGCTGCATAAAACAGGAAGAGAGCTGCTAATCACAGCCCCAGAGGGTAGTGGCCAAAGTGATGCCTTGGAGATCCGAGAATGCCAGACTGAGATCACACGGCCTGGGGAATTACCGCCTATGGTCATTTTGGTTTTCCCGGGATAGCCATGTTAATTGGGTGAAATAAAGCATATTTGATTTTCTTATGACAAAAAAGGGCTTTTGCCATTGTCTACAGATGATACTTTAAATCTTTATTTTATGACTAAAGGTGAATTCCAGAGCAACATTAAATGTTGTCCCTTTAAATTTTTAATCATTTACATAACGATTACCATAATATTCAATTTAAACATAAAATGTAATTGAAAGTATGAGATTAATATGTGGACATGAAATCATATAATATTCCATGGAAAAAATAGAATGTATAAGGCAAAGAGGTTTAAAGTAACATCAAAACTAACGCTCACTATACAAATTCTATGAAATCCTCATAATTACACTGTGAAGCAGGTGTTGTTAGAGCCACATAATCTCAAACAAATTATTTATTATCTAAAATTACATAGATATTAAAAGGTTAGGCCATATATGAATTTAGGATTCTCTCAAAAATTTTTTCTCTTTCTCCTACATCAAACTTCCCTAAATTATAGAAAAGTCACAATGTTACCAAACATATTCACAAAACACATATAATCTTGAATCCAAATTTCAGTTACAGCAGAAAAAATAAAACTCTAGATCAATCTCAATCGTGTAAATAAATTCAGATTTCCAATCTAAGAGTCTCAATTTGACATACTTCTTTCTCTCTCTTCTTTCAAACCAGGAGAAATATAAATATGAGCCACAACCTTACAAAAGCTAGAAAATATTTACAATTCCACACAACAACACATGAAGAAAACCTTCTGGACATCAAAAGTTTAAACCAGTCAAGACTGAACACCAAGATAAAGTGCATGCCTCTGAAGAGCTTGAGCTAGTCAAGAAGCCCAGAAATCCCTAAAAGAGGTGTGTATACTGAGGACTGAGGATCAAAACCTGTGATCTTTACTTGGAACAGAAATATTGCAGCATGTGAACCCTCCACAGAGTGACAGAGGGAAAGGAGTTTAAAGGGAAACATGCAAATGTATCACCTTTGGAATAATTAGGACACGTGTGTGGTGTAATGAAAGAAGGCAAAAAGATGGGGAAGAAGCCAGACAGATGGCAATCTTCATTCTATTATGAAAAGAAAAGGATAAGTCACAAGTCACATGACGAAATTAACAACTATGAATCCACTCTAAGCCATAGTCAATCCTATAGCCTAGGAGTCATTCTAACAGATGAGAGTGTTTTGGAGACAAGATTCCAAAACTCGTCTGCCTTCCATCATACTTACTACCCCCAGCTCCTCCTCCACAATATCCTTTCACAAGTATCTAGAATATTCAAAGACTAATAATATTATATAATTATTTATAATAATTGTATTACAAAAATAAAACTTGATGACCTTTATAAAAATACTAGAAGAAAAAGGGAAAATTACATAAGGTACAGAACATACAAATTATACCATGAAGCAGTAAAAAACAGGATCAAATTTTCTATGTTTTTTAAAAATATGCCTTCTCTAAAATGTTTTCTCTCTGAAATGATATTTAGAAGACATAATTGAAAATAAATACAAAATAAAGTGATAAAAAATAATCTGGCAAAATTCAGGATGTAATGAGTAAAGACAACCATGAAAGAAATGAAGATCAATAAAAGCAGGAAAAAAAGTGGGAAGTGGAGAGAATAATGCTGCTAAAAACACAGATAAGAATATAAATGACAGGCTTAAATATATCCTGAGCAAAACGAAATAGAAAACACAAGAAGGTGAAATGTAACATTAAAGTCAGGTCCAACAAATGAGAAATTAGTGTGAAAGAGCTCACAATATCTGGTTAAAAAATTCAAAGATAAAAGAAAACTTTTCTGAAATGAAGAAAACATTGAATCTAATGGTTAAAGGGCTTATCTTTATCCAGAAAAAATGTGTTATAGTATGACCACATCAAGGCAGATGCAACTGAATTTACCGGACTTCACAAACACAAAATAAACAACCCACAAAAAAAAAAAAAAATAGAGTCCCCATGAGGCTTTAATGAAGACAACTATTAGAGGCCAGGCGCAGGGGCTAACACCTACAGTCCCAACACTTTGAAAGGCCAAGGCAGGAGAATCACTTGAGCCCAGGAGTTCAAGATAAGACCAGCCTGGGCAACATAGCAAGACCCCATCTCTATCAGAAAAACTTAAAAAAGAAAACTATCCACTAAAAATGAATAGAGATAACATGATACAAGTGAGCATTCTGAAGCCTAATATCAAAATGTTCTGGGGTTTGCGGTTAAAGAACAGAATGCAAATGTTACAAACCATAACTGTATAAAGACTAATTATATTCATAACAAAAATAAGAAGAGAAAGATAGTAGAAATATATTCTGGTCCATTCAACTTTCACAGTGGGAGAGAATCAACAAATTATGTTATGGGTGATTAAATATTATTTTAAAAGATAAAGGTCATTATTAGAAAAATTAAAAATAACAAAATCAAATAAAGTTGAATGACGAAGGTGGGAGAGGAAAGTGGGTTAAAGGGGTAAAGTGGAACTATATTAAAAGAGTCAATGGAGAGGACCCTTGGAAATAACACAAAAATTAAAGAACTAAATATAATTTATACAGCACATAACTAAAATAAACTATAAATCTTCAAATTAAAAGAAAATATGTACATACAAAATATCACATAAATATTAATACCATGAAAATATTAAAATAAAAGCATAAAATTAATTCATTTATTTACCCTATTAGTATTTTTTGAACACCTATGTGCCAGGTATTGTGCTGAATGCCAGTAAGATATAGTTCCTGCATCTTGGAGTTTTCGTGGAGGAGACAGAGATTAATCAAACAATCACACAAATGTAAAATTGCAACCATAAAAATTACTCTGAAATACAATGAAAATTACTATAAGAGAGGGATTTGATGTGAGTCAGAGAAGTTTCCCCTAAGAAAGCAACACTGAAGCTGAGATCTAAAGGGTAAACAGCAGTTAACTGAGTGGAGAACAAAGGTTTTCCTGCAGGGGGAACAATCTGCTCCCCGAGGCCAGAGTGGGGCCTTGGGAGTTGTGCCTGAAACCACATTGTGAGGAAGTGAGGGGAAGCATTGTGCAGATAATGCTGAAATAAGTAGTGGAAGATGCTTCCTAAGAGAATGAGAAATCCAAGACTACTAAGCAGAAGAATAATTTGACCAGATTTCACATTTGTAAATATCACTATGGTTACAATGTATAGAATGGATTTTAAGGAATTCAAATTGGATACAGGTGAGTCAATTACAAAGCAACATGCTTGCCAAGGCAAGAAATTTGATTACTTAAACTAGATATGGGAGTTTTGGAAATAAGTAGATAAATTTGTCATATATTTGAGATAATAAATCACCATGACTTGATGGTAGACTTAGTTGGAGATGCCCTCACTAATGCACCATCTAATGCTTCAAGTCTAATAATTATTCAATTCCTCCAGAGCCACCAATCCAATGGTTCTACCATATTTATGCTGTCATTCACTTTACTGATATCCTTCTTACCTTACCTCTTTTCCCACTTTATATTCCATGATCAATACCTTGCTCCCTCGTAATGATTGTACTCACTCTTCCAAACAACAATCCTGATAAAT
Source organism: Homo sapiens (assembly GCF_000001405.40). Taxonomy (NCBI): domain Eukaryota; kingdom Metazoa; phylum Chordata; class Mammalia; order Primates; family Hominidae; genus Homo; species Homo sapiens. Next base: position 118,119 of record NC_000006.12, read on the forward strand.
CCTACTCTCTGCCTTCTACATCTTGATACCACACAGCTATATGTGGCTAGATAAAACAATCACACTGACAATCATCCTATACTTTCTGAATCCATCACTCTTCTACTTTTTCAGATCTTTTCTTTCTCCCTCATCCTTACCATGTAATGAACTCATTTTGCATGTCAAGGGCTAAAAGTTGAATATTTTAAAAGTTCTTATTTTCCCACTACTATATAAACCAACAAATATCTTTAGTCTGCATTCACAAATAACATAACAAATGAGCTCTTCATATTTCTATCTGTGGTGAATTAAGATGAGTAGAAATTTTGTGGCACCATCCCATTGAAAACGTGGGGACATATTCTTTCTCCTTGAACCTGGGTGGGCTCTTTGACTGCTTTGACCAATAAAATACAGTGAAAGTAAAACTTCCAGTTTTGATGTCCAGATGTTAAAAGCCTTGAAGCTTCCATTTCTACATCTTGGAACCAACGTGTGTGGGGTGCTGAGTCAGTATCGAAGAATTCTGCTTATTCTGCTTGCATTAGTCCATTTTCATGCTGCTGATAAAGACATATCCAAGACTGGGTAATTTATGAATAAAAAGAGTTTCATGGAATCACAGTTCCATGTGGATGGGGAGGCCTCACAATCATGGCAGAAGGTGAAAAGTATGCATTACATGGGAGCAGACAAGAGACAATGAGAGCTGAGTGAAAGGGGAAGCCCCTTGTAAAGTCATCAGCTCTCATGAGACTTATTCACGACCATAAGAACAGTATGGGGGAGCCACCCCATCATTCAATTATCTCTCACCAGGTCCCTCCACAACACATGGGAATTATGGGAGCTACAATTCAAGATGAGATTTGGGAAAGGACACAGCCAAACCACCTCATTCTGCCTCTGGCACCTCCCAAATCTCATGTCCTCACATTTCAAAACCAATCATGCCTTCCCAATAGTCCCCAAAAGTCTTAACTCACTTCAGCATTAACTCAAAAGTTGGCAGTCCAAAGTCTCACCTGAGACAGGGCAAGTCTCTTCCACATATAAACCTGTAAAATCAAAAGCAATTTAGTTATTTTCTAGATAAGATAGGAGTACAGGCATTGGGTAAATGCAGCCATTCCAAATGGTAAAATTTACCCAAAACAAAGGGACTAAAGGCTCCAAGCAAGTCCGAAATCCAGTGGGACAGTCAAATCTTAAAGCTCCAAAATGATCTCCTTTGACTCTATGTCTCACATCCAGGTCATACTCATGCAAGTGGTGGGTTCCCATGGTCTCAGGCAGCTCCACCCCTGTGGTTTTGCAGGGGAGAGCCTTCCTCCCGGTTGCTTTCACAGGCTGGCATTGTATGCAGCTTTTCCAGGCACACAGTGCAAGCTGTCGGTGGATCTACCATTCCGGGGTCTGGAGGACAGCAGCCCTCTTCTCATAGCTCCACTAGGCAGTACCCTAGTGGGGACTCTGTGTTGGGGGCTTCAACCCCACATTTCCATTCCCCACTGCCTTAGCAGAGGTTCTCCATGAAGACCTCACCCCTGCAGCAAACTTCTATCTGGAGATCCAGGCATTTCCATACATTCTCTGAAATCTAGGTGGAGGCTCCCATACCTCGATTCTGGACTTCTGTGAATCCACAGGCTCAACACCACATGGAAGCTGCCAAAGCTTGAGGCTTGCACCCTCTGAAGCCATGGCCTGAGCTGTACCTTGACCCCTTTTAGCTGTGGCTGGAGCAGCTGGGACACAGAGCACCAAGTCCCTAGGCTGTACACAGGCAAACAGCAGAGGGGCCCTGGGCCCAGCCTATGAAACCATTTTTTCCTCCTAGGCCTCTGGGTGTGTGATGGAAGGGGCTGCCACAAAGATCTCTGACATGGCCTGAAGACTTAGCGATTAACATTTGGCTCCTTGTTACTTATGCAAATTTCTGCAGCCAGCTTGAATTTCTCCTCAGAAAATGGATTTTTCTTTTCTATCACAGTGTCATGCTACAAATTTTCTGAACGTTTATGCTCTGTTTTCCTGTTAAAACTGAGTGCTTTTAACACACCCAAGTCACTCTTGAATGATTTGCTGCTTAGAAATTTCTTCTGCCAGATACCCTAACTCATCTCCCTCAAGTTCAAAGTTCCACAAATCTCTAGGGCAGGGACAAAATGCTGCCAGTCTCTCTCGATAGCAAGAGACACCTTTACTCCAGTTCCCATTGAGTTCCTCATCTCCATCTGAGACCATCTCAGCCTGGATTTCATTGTCTATATCATTATTTGACATTTTAGTCAAAGCCATTCAACAAGTCTCTAGGAAGTTCCAAACTTTCCCACATTTTCCTGTCGTTTTCTGAGCCCTCCAAACTGTTTCAACCCCTGCCTGTTACCCAGTTCCAAAGTCGCTTCCACATTTTTGGGTTATCTTTACAACAGCACCCCACTCTACCAGTACCAATGTACTGTATTAGTCTGTTTTCATGCTGCTGATAAAGACATACCTGAGACTGAGTGATTTATGAAGAAAAAGACACTTAATGGACTCACATTTCCAGGTGGATGGGGAGGCCTCACAATCATGGTGGAAGGCAAAAGGCACATCTCTACATGATGGCAGACAAGACAGAATGAGAGCTAAGTGAAAGGGGAACCCCCTTATAAAATCATCAGCTCTTGTGAGACTTATTCAAGACCACGAGAACAGTATGGGGGAAATACTCCTGTGATTCAGTTATCTCCCGTTGGATCCCTCCCACAAGACACGGAAATTATGGGAGCTACAATTCAAGATGAGATTTGGGTGGGGACACAGCCAAACCATATTGCTGCTGAATAGATCATGTAGACAGGCTCTCAAACTACACGGAGAGCAAGAGAGGCCCACCTTACCACAACATTTCATCCAATCCACTAATAAAACAGGCACATCACTGAAGCCACCTTCAACTCTCCAGACTACCCAGCTGCCAGCTGAATACCACAGATGGCTACAGTTAATACCACATGGAGCAGAATCATGTAGCTAAGCCCTGCTTGCACTAATACAAGTCCACAATTTTTTTTAAGTTTGTTGTTTTAAGCTGCTAAGTTTTGAGGTGGTTTGTGGTACGTGGAATAAGATGTCACTCTAATATAATATAAACTTAAACTATGTGGCATTGGCTTTGGAATCAGACAATGGATAGAAGCCAGAAGGATTTCACAAAGACTGTTAGTGAAAAGTGAACAGACTTCAAGGAAAATGATAGCAAAACCTGTAAAAGCATTCTGGGAACTGACAGTAAACACTGAATGGTCCTTAAGGAGACTGAAAACTTGAAAGAGCTTAAGAAGTCTACTGGAAAGGGCTTTAAGGATAATGAGAAAAAATCATCAGTGGAGACTGAGGAAAACGCACCAAAGTCATATTCTGATGGGAGAGTTAGAAAACGCTTGCCTGGAATGATATAAAAAATAGGAAAAATACCGAAAAAGTTTGTGGATCTGGCTGGGGAGATTTTTGGTGTCAACTAAAGAAAAAAATTAAGCTTTTAAGAAATTAAAGTTAGATTTATTTAGGGGTCTGAGAACAAGAGACTGAGGATTACAGCCTAGGAGAAGTCTTTCAGAGAGGTTCTGTCAGACTGCTCTGGGTGAAGGTCTTTAGCCCACAGTTTATATGCAGGCTGTACATATACACCATGGAATACTATGCCGCCATTAAAAAATGATATCATGTCTTTTGCTGGAATATGGATGGACCTTCTATTATCCTTAGCAAACTAATGCAGGAACAGAAAACCAAATACAGCATACTCTCAGTTATAAGTGGGAGCTAAATGATGAGAACTAATGAACACAAAGAATAAAACAGACACTGGGGTCTACTTGAGGGTGGAGGGTGAGAAAAGGAAGAGAAGCAGAAAAGATAACTATTGGGTACTAGGTTTAATACCTGGATGATGAAATAATCTGTACAATAACCCCCTGTGACACCAGTTTACCTATGTAACAAATGCCCCTAAACTTAAAATAAAAGTTAAAAAAAAAAAGAAAATTAAAATCTCCTTATCATCTACCTGGTAATATGAAAAACACAAATCTTTCATTCATTCCTTTCAACTGATGAGGAAAATGAGGCATCGGGAGTTAGTAAAAGTCCACATTGAGATATGAGACCCACCACTGGCTGGACGCAGTGGCTCACACCTGTAATCCCAGCACTTTGGGAGGCCGATGCTGGTGGATCACCTAAGGTCAGGAGTTCGGGACCAGGCTGGCCAACATGGTGAAACCCCCATCTCTACTAAAAATACAAAAATTAGCTGGGTGTGGTGGCAGGCACCTGTAATACCAGCTACTAGGGAGGCTGAGGCAGGAGAATCGCTTGAACCCAGGAGGTGGAGTTTACAGTGAGCCAAAATCACGCCATTGCACTCCAGCCTGGGCAACAAGAGCAAGACTCTGTCGGGGAAAAAAAAAAAAAAAACCACCACCATCATTTTGCAAGTGTTACCACTATTGTGTGTTAATATTGTAGAAGTATTCCTAATTATGATTTCTTTGTATTCCTAATTGTAATAGCTTTGTATTTGAAAAATTATTGATTCATACTCTATATGTTATTATTTTGTATGCGATGACAACAGAATATATTATCATGCTCCTTTTGTGAATCTCATTCATAATATAAAGTATAAATTTGTGATTTTGCTTTAATTTGAAATATTAACTTCAAATATGTTATCACAATTTGATACAAACTATTGACAGTAAATCTGTGGATTAAGTAATGTCTTAGTAGGTATTGGGAAAATTTGAAACTAGTAACATGGAGGACTATTGTCATTGTTTATTTCAAAGCCAGTTAAAATTCTGCAAAGCAGTGTACATAAAAATAATTTCAAGAAATTTATAAAATACCGAGATTATGGTGTATAAACAACTTTAGATTCTTTGTTTAAGAAATTCTGCCAGTTTGTAATATATGCTTCATTCAAAGAAGCTAAGGGCTGTACCTGGCTAATAGTAGGCACCTAATATTTGTTGAAAAGGAATACTGAGTAGCTGGGACCTCCTGAGTAGCTGGGACCACACACATTTAACCTGTATTTATAAAATTACTGTTTAGAGAATAACATTTGATGGAATCATGCTTTTACTTTCTGCTTATGACTCAATTGTTTGTACTGACATTAACATCCCAAATCCTTAGCATGGCCTACAAGGCCCTGAGCAATGTGGCACCTGCTGAAGCCTGCTGCCTCATTTAATAACTCTTTGTCTCTTTCCCAGATCCAGCCACTCTAACATTTTTTAGCTCCTGGACCAAGACAAGCTCTTCCCAGAACCTGACCTTTGTACCTGTTCTTTATTCCTGGAGTATTTTTCCCCTGACAAATTACTTATCATCTATCATAATTCAGGTTAAATGGCACTAACTCAGGGAAGGCTTCCCTAACTGCCTCCCTTCTCCAACCAAATTAGGAACAATTATATGGCCACATAGTATCGAATCAAGTTTATAATTTTAAAATAATTGGGAGATTTTGTTGTTTAACACTTGTTTTCACTATAAGACTGTAATTACATGCAAGTAAGAACCATGCCTGTTTGTTCACTCCTGCCACAGTCAGAATAGTGCCTGGAATATGCAGTAAGGGCTGAACAAACACTAAATAAATGAACAAGTGAATAAATGGATATTGTCTCATTTTTAGAACAGAGTACTGAATGGATCATGAACACTATCTGGTATGTCACATAGGTAATTTACAAGGGCTACAGTTTCAGCTCAGATTTACCTTTTCCTGGATACAGGTCTTGATAGGTCTCTTGATGTCATTTCATTTCAGATTCTTCTTTAGAAAACTTGGACAATAGCATTTGCTGTCTTGTCCAAATTGTTACTAAGAATCAAGAGAGATATCTGACATGAAATGACATTGGAAAACATTAAACATGAGAAATAATGCTAGCCAATATGGTTATTATTAGAAACCAATTACATTTTCAACTTAAAAATAGTAATACTTATTGCAGACTCAAATGTGCTTATTCTAAAACAAGTAAATGTTTGCCTATGGTCTGAGATTCTAATCCACGGAGTTCATTCTAATCCACATTCAACACTATCATGTACCAGTGGGCCTCATAACCCACCTAGCCCTGTGATTTTTCAGGTTCACTTTTCTAAACTTGTGAATTAAATATTTATTTTCTTAGTTCAGAAGAGGAAAAAAACTCTTGTAATTGTTGCCCATTTCAGGAGAAATCTTGCATATGAAAACAAGAGATAAATATACACAGCTGAGGGCTGTGGTTTAAACAAAATCTTGAGAATGTTTTTTGACCTTATACATTTGTGCTTTAGTATAACAAAATGATATAGACAAAGGTAACTTTTAATAGAACCAGTCACTACATTAAAAAAATGACAAATTCTTCTGCTTAGCTAAGCAACAGAGAAGGTAAAGTACTAATTCAATTCATCAATTTAAGCAATACTCATTAAGAGCCAAGTATGTGCTTACTGAATAAGCTGCTAAGGTTTGGTGGTTACAGAGTGTGCGGTGAAATGATGTCTACATCACAGTCCAACATTCACAGAGTTTAAAAGCCTACCAAGAATCAAGACAGACACAAATACCTAACATAGACGTTTGTATGTGATAAGAGAGCCAGAGTACAGTTTAGGAGAAGAAATTGTATGGAAGGAAGGTTCATTTCCATTAGACCAGAAAAGACAGCACATTTGAAGGCCTGAATAAGAAATATTCTGGATAAGATATTGTGGCTGCTACCAGAATGGCTCTTGATGATCTCTACCTCTTGGTATTTATACCCTTATATAATCTCTTTCCTATAGTATAAGCTGGTCCCAGGTACTTGTTTCTATTGAATAGAATAGAACAAAAGAAATGAGATGCCACTTCTGAGATTAGATTATAAGATACTGTGAATTTCATCTTGTGCCCTCTCCCTCTCTCTCTTTCTCTTGCCCTCTCATTTGAATGAAGCCAACTGGCATGCTGTCAGTGGCCCAGTGTAAGTCCTGTTACAAGAAATTGATGATTACCTGTAGCCAACCCTAAGTGAAGAACTGAGGTCCTCAGTCCTACAAATGGAGAGAAACTGAATCTAGCTAAGAACCATGTGAGTGAGCTGGGAAGAAGATCCACCCTCAGTTGAAATTTAAGATGACATATTGAGCAGACATACTGAGACACACTGAAAGTAAGAGAGCAGGAGGAAACAAAACCAGGGTCATACAAAGAACACAACTGATTTTGAGATTCTCACATAAGTATTACACCTTCAGTGAGCACATGTACTAGAAATTTAAAAAATAAATACAATAAACCTTCAAAGAGAGCTAGCAAATAAATTTCCCTATGGTCTCAGCTCTGAGTGGAGAGAGAAAATGTTCCCTGTGGAGTTTATAGCCAGAATCCAGCTCTCAAACAGGTTTCAGCCTGAACTCACACAATCTGTGTGGCTTCCAAATTTGCAAGCTGAGAATTTAATTCAAAGTGGTCTCAGGTTGATAGCAGTCCAAAATGCTAGGTAGGAAAAAAAATCCTCTCTGGACAAATAAATCATCAAAGCAAGCTCATAAGAGCAGGTTTCAAAGGTCATGAGCTTCTAACACACACAAAAAAATCACACACACAAAATGGGGGTAGCAGCAACATGGGTAGCATATTCAAACTTGAAAAGACTTTAAATATTTGTATTATTAGATGTAGATTATGAAACACATATTTTAATGTGGTTAATTTTTTTAAGGAATCAAAACTATGAGTAAAGACCAAGAAAACTGTGCTGGATGGCCACTTCCACCATGGCTCCCCTCCTATTTAAGTCTGGGTACTGTGTCACGCGAAGTCTTCAGGCACATTGTTCCAGGTTTGGGTTTGCCTATGAAAGAAACTCATGAGAGCTGGAAGTGAGGAGTGAAGAGGAGGTCTTCACATAAAGCAGGCTTAAGGATTAGACATAGCAGGTTTGACAGATGTGATGGCTTGCAGAATCCTTTATGAGCTCCCACTGTCCATCTGGATAAGATTTACAGACCTTTCAGAAATTCCTATAAGCTTGGGTTCTGTGCCCACACTCTAGACTGTCAGGCTAAGATCTCTGATATAAAACAGACCTCTTCTGATTTTGTCTAGCTGCTTTTCTAATATCTATTCACCAAGCTCTTCCAATAATAGCATAAGGCCCTAATTAATATTAAACTTTTATCATTATAATACATAGGATGTCTTCTGTTTTCCTGATCAAATTCTGACTACTATTAAAATATAAAGAATTGTCCAGAAATATATAAAAAAAGAATCACACATTGATCTTCTTTAAATGAAAATATAACAATTGTATGGACTAGGATGATTACAGTTGTTCAGTTCTGACTGTTATTTGAAGAAAAAAGCAATAAGAAGCCTCAGCAACTTAACAGAAGGAGCTGCCATTTACTAGGAGAAAAGATTGTGGATGAGAGTGTAGCAAAGGTCAGAATTCTGTGAAGCTTGAGATGTCTATTATAATGAATTATCTTTTATACTCACTACAATTTCCTAACAATTTTGGGGTTTATATTTTTGAAAGAGATATACCTTTAATTTTTTTCTTTGTACTATTGTTAGATAACTTTAATGTGCAGATTATACTACAGTGAAAGTTGCCAATGACAAGGCAAAGTCACTTACATCAGACCCAAAGCAAAGTGGAGCCGGGTCATGAAAAAGGGGATCTTGTGTGTGTGTCCACGATAAGCACTATCACAAGGACTTTCTATAAACTCACAAGAAATTTCTGCCCACCCAGCACACTCTGTTTGTCCAGCTCATCCTGTAGGTGTCTCTATAATAGGATCTATCATAAAAAATTCCTCAAGACTGCAGCATTTCAGATAAGCCACCCTCACAAGAACACTTGCCTAGCAATGGCTGTTTCTGCCAGTAAGTTAACACCAGCTCCTGCATCAGACCCTGTGACCAATGATGTTTGTTTCAAAACAGCTTGCATAGACTTCTTTTTGTCTTTACATATTTTCCTTACCTCAACCTCTTGGGATGCACCTATGATTGATCATAGCACAAATATCTCAGATTATAAAACTTGTTTATTTCCAAATAAATTTATTTCTTCAGAGATCCACTTTTTCTGTTATTATACATTGACATTGTTATCATGAAATTGGTTGGGTGATGTGTCGTATTTTCTTGTCTCCAGAAGAATTTCTGTAACAGTGCAATTAAACGTTCTTTGCATGTTTGCTAGAACTCACCTGTAAAATTGTCTGAGCAACCAAAGCCTGGTTTTTGTGTTTAGTTTTTCTTTTGTGATTGGGGAGGGGGGTTTATCGTACTGATTCAAGGTGTGAAGGTAACATCATTTTGATTTTATACATCTTCTTCAGTCCATTTAAGCATGTTACATAGCGTTGTTTGTTCTTTTCATGATATTCTTTACAGTAGTCTCCTAAATGTTCCCTCTGCTTCTGCCAGGAGCCCCTACAATCTATTTCAACTCAGAAGCTATAGAGTTTGTTTAAAACATGTAACATATTATGCCACCTTTCTTACTGTAAAACATCCCATGGTTTCTCATAGTATTTATAGTAAAAGTGAAATTTTTATGATGGCTTGAGAAACTTTTCCCATTAGATGCCCAAGTGCTGGTCTGGTCTGATCTTCTCATCTTCCCTTGGGTGATTCTGTGGCAGTCACACTAGCCTCCTTGCTGCTCCACAAAAACTCCAGCATGATCCTACTTCAGGATATTTGCCATTGTTACTGCATCTGCCTGGAACCTTTTCTCCCATATAAACATAGAGATTGCTCTTGCCTGTCCTTCAAGTCTATTCTTAAATGTCCCATTCTCTGTGAAGCTTTCCTGCCCACCCTATTTAAATTACAGACTTCACTCCCAATTCCCCATCTACTTTAAGAGTCTTCATTTATCATTCCTTGACAAACTGTAAATACACATGTTCACTTTTTTATCGTCTGTCTCCAAATACTGGAATGTTAAGTTCTGTAATGTCAGATATTTCTGTTTGGTTCACTGGTGTATTCTTAAAGCATGTTACATACTAGGTATACTCAATGAATATTTGTTGAATAAATATCACATTGGGCTTATTCCAGAAATTCAAGCTTGTTTCAATAGTTAGAGCAATCTACAAATGTAATTCATTACATTAACTAATTAAAGGAGCTAAATCACATCACCACCACAATAATGCAGAAAAACACATTTGATACAACTCAACATTCATGTCTGCCTAACAAACATCTCATGATACTAGGAAAAGAGGAAGGGATATATTATTTTCATGTATAAAGCACTAACCATTGTAGCATGCCAATATACTCAAAATTCAATGAAATTCCTATCAAAATCTTAGCATTCCTCTTAGTCCTCAACAAAGCATTTCTAAAATGTGTATAGAAGACCAAAGGGCCAAAAGAGTCAACTTCTGAAGAAGTGGAAAAAGAAAGTTGAGGAAATCTTAAAACATGTTATTGAGCTTAAAGTTGCAAAAATAAACTCATGTGCCATAATTCATGAGTAGAAAAACAGACTAGTGGAATAACATAAAAATAAAAACAATGCTTACATAAAATGTTGTAACTGATTTGGATGTCATTAGAAATCAGTAAGTAAATAGATGGACAATGTAATGAAAGATGCTAGGCAAATAATGTGGTAGGGAGAATAATGGCCCGCAAAGATGCCCATGCCTAACCCTGGAACCTGTGAATATGTTACACTGAATGCAATAAAGGCTTATCAGATGTGATTAAGGATGCAAACCGAGATGGAGAGATCTTCCTGGGTTACCCAGATGGGCCCAGTCTAATCACATGAGTTCTTAAAAATGGAGAACCTTTCTTAGCTGAGTCCAGAGAGAGATGTGACAATGAAAGAATGGTCAGAGAAATGTGACATTGCCAGCTTTAAAAAGAGAGAGGAGAGGCAATGAGAAAAGGAATGCTGATGTTCTCTAGAAGATAGAAAAGGCCAGGATATGGATTCTACCCTAGCCACCATAAAGAAACATGCCTGTCAACAACTTGATTTTAGTTCACTAAAATTCATGCCTGATTTCTGACTTGTGTACACTGTAAGATGACAAGTTTGTGTTATTTTAGGTCACTTAGTTTGTAGAAATTTGTTACAGCAGTAATAGAACAAGTGGTTATCCATATGAGGCAAATTAGATTGGATACCTATCTCCAATAGAAATCAATTCAAGGTGAATTCCAGGAAAATACTTAAAACATTTAGATTAAAAATAAATGAGAATTTTTGTTACTTTTGGTAGGTCATAGAACCAAGAAAAACAAACATTAAGGAGGAAAAATGAACATATGACTACATCAAAATATAAAGCTTCTCTATTTGGATGATATCATAAGGTGACAAATCATAAACTGTAATATTTACAACATATATATGAGTGAATAAATATACATTTAGAATATATATGAATTCCCAAAAATCAACAGGAAAAATAAGACATAGAACAAGCAAAATGCATAAACAAAAGAAGGCAAAACAAAAATAATGACTCATAATTATATGAAAAGAAACTCATCTTCATAGATGAGCAGATAAATGCAAATTAAAACCACCCTGAGATGCTTTTTACATCCATGAGCCTGATAAAAGTTAGAGTCTAAAAGTAATAATTAACAAAGATGGGAAGTAACAGAAAATCTTGTCCATTACTGGTTAAAGTATAAACTGATACAGCTACTTTATAGAATATTACATTATAGAATAAAGTTGTGAGTATGTATATGCAGTGACTCAGCATATTCATTGCTAGTATGTACTCAAGAGAAACTTACAGGAGTGGACTAGGAAGTAAACACAAAATGATTACAACATTGTTTGTTATATCAAAAAATAAAAAAGACACCCAATTTTCCAGCAAAAAAAATAAGTAAAAATAAATCCTGGTGTATTCTAACAATGGAATAATATATAGCCATTAAAATAAATCAACTATTACTGTACATATGAATGTAAGTATCAGCAAAACATATTGTTTAGTGAAAAACTAAGAAGCTGAAGAAGAATATATACAATATGGTTACATTTATATGAAGTCCAAAAACTTGCAAAATAAAGAAATGTATTTAGAAATAGATTCACATGTGAGAAAACTAGAAGAAAATTAATGAAAGGATAAGAGGGATAGCAGTAATTCTGAGTAGTTGAGGGAATTTCAATTGGAAAAAAATAATATCATATTCTTTAAGTCAGGTAGTGGGTATTAGCATTTGTTTTACCATCGTTCTTTATTCTTATAGCTACACTATATATTTTCAATGTATTTAATGTATTTTTTGCATAATTAAATATTATGCAATAAAAATGAGAAAACAAAAAAGTAGAAAATGATAAATTACAATAAAGAAATGGAGAAAAAATTATAATCTAGTTGAGTAATGGTATATTACATAGCTATTTTCTTAAGTAGATGTATATACATGATGTATGCACGATTGTACATACATGTTCTTAATTATATATAAATATATATGTACATATTTTTAATATAAAATACTAAACAAAGTACACCAAAATATTAGCTCCTATGTTAGTGAGATAATGTTTTTTTTTTTGTATTTTAAGTTTTACATAGTAGGTGTATTTTTCTGTTTTCATACTGCTATAAAGAAATGCCCAAGACTGGGTAATTTATAAAGGAAAGAAGTTTAATTGGCTCACAGTTCAGCACAGCTTGGGAGGCCTCAGGAAATCTACAATCATGGCGGAAGACAAAGAGGAAGCAAGCCAGCTTCTTCGCAAGGCAGCATGAAGAAGTGCCGAGCAAAGGGGAAAGAATCCCTTATAAAACCATCAAATCTCGTGAGAACTCACTATCACAAGAACAGCACAGGGGAAACTGCCCCCATGATTCAATTACCTCCACCTGGTCTCTCCCTTGACCTGTGGGGATTATGGGGGCTATGGGGATTACAATTCAAGACGAGATTCAGGTGGGGATACAAAGCCTAACCATATCAGTAGGCATGTATTGAATTTTAAACTCAGAGAAAAATACTAGTGTTTTTATAGGATTCTTACTAAAGAAAAACCAGAAAGTAATAAACCATCTACGCTAAGACATAAAATTCAGTTGTTTAGTTACAAGATAGAATGTGGCCTTGTAAGAAAGCAAATTAACTTCTAACATACAAAGCCTTAGAGAAGATTCAAGTGACTGACGGATCTTAAACAGAGCTATTATTACAACTCGAACTGCAGTAAAATATCCTCAGCAACATAGATGTGTGTGTTTCACTAGTCAGAGCAATACAAATTTAATGAAACTCCATTGGTGGTGTTTTTAATCAGACAATTTCTGAAGATGTCCTGGCTTATTCACAGATGCAAGCCAAATCTCTAGAAGAGTACCATAATAAGAAAAAAAAGAATACAGGCAATTGAGAGCTGTTCCAAAGTTTAGGGAGTTTTTGTAAGGAATTAATAAATAAAAATGTTCTTGACAGAGAGAAATTAATATGCAGTTCATACTGCCAGAATTGCAGGCAATTTATCAAAGTCCCCTAATCCTCCAAAATCGCTATTTTTTTTTGACACACACTTTACAGTACAGAAGAAAATGTCTCCGGCAATAAATCACAAAGTTAAAATTACCTAGTCTACAATTAACTACACAGTGATGGTAAATCATTTTCTACCAAAAGAAAGAAATGTCTTGTCTATTCAGGTTCTGCTCTACTTAAAAGTTTTCCTTGTTGGCGAGCAAGTGGTTAGAAAATCATATTTTATACGTACATTCAGCTTAACTATCATTCAGCTCAGGAAGATGACTCAGGGCCTTATCCATACCTTCAAGATTGCTCTTAGCAAGTAATTGTTTCAGTATCTATATCAAAAATGGCTTAAGCGTGCAACATGTTTCTGAATGATTAACAAGGTGATAGTCAGTTCTTCATTGAATCCTGGATGCTTTATTTTTCTTAATAAGAGGAATTCATATGGATCAGCTAGAAAAAAATTAAGAGGAAAATCACATGGAAAGTTATATATTATATATCTATTATATATAATATTATATATCTATTATATATTATATATTGTATATCTATTACATATATAATATATATGTATTATATATATTATATATTATATATCTATTATATATATAATATTTTATATTATATATCATTTCCAAATTCCCCAGCGTTCATATTTGTCAGTGCAAGTAAAGAGCCTTACTGCTGATGAGGTTTGAGGTATGACCATTTGGCCAGAATTTATGAACTCTACATGTCGCTTGATGTGTGCTTCAGGGTACACTTTTTTTTTTTTTTTGAGACGGAGTCTTGCTCTGTCGCCCAGGCTGGAGTGCAGCGGTGCGATCTCAGCTCACCGCAAGCTCCGTCTCCCGGGTTCACGCCATTCTCCTGCCTGAGCCTCCTGAGTAGCTGGGACTACAGGTGCCCGCCACTATGCCCTGCTAATTTTTTGTATTTTTAGTACAGACGGGGTTTCACCGTGTTAGCCAGGATGGTCTCGATCTCCTGACCTCGTGATCCACCCGCCTCGGCCTCCCAAAGTGCTGGAATTACAGGTGTGAGCCACCACGCCCGGCCAGGGTACACTTTTAAGCAGAGACACTACTTTGAAGGTCATAAAAAATATAATAAGAGATAAGGCTAATTTCCTTTAATAATAATAAAATCCTTTAATAAAAATATAAAGGAATAATATAATAATTTTCTTTAATAAAATATAATAAGAGATAAGGCTAATTTCCTTTAATAAAATATAGTAACTACATACCAACAGAATTCCAAAAAAAGAAATGGAGAGGAAGGGAGCATGGGTCATTAATCTTGTCAAAAATATAAAATTATATACGAGGAATTCCTAGAAACTGTTTTCCTTGTCTGCGGCCATTGTGCTGCTGCTACACAACTACCGCAAGCAGCCCTTCACGCCCTCCTCCCAGTACAAAGCTAATTGACTTGTGAGAAATGTTAAGCTTGGAAGAGTCAGCATCGCTGCACTTATTTTTTATTCTACTCTGACATTAGAATAATCCTTGAGTGGGGGAAAGGTTAAAAACCCCCCTGGATAAGTGTTACTAATTAATGATGATTGTTTTAAACAATGTTTGGATAATTTTTCCTTGTCCCTTGACATAAACTTGATAAATAACTGAGAAGTGAGAAGGAGATTAGTGGGTTGATTAAATTCCATTCAGGTACTTAAAGTTAGCTCCAAAAATTTAGCTATTTGTAAATTGTCATGCATTGTTAATGTATAAGAGATGTAGATTTCATTTATCTTTGGTGGAGCGAGATGAAGCAGTGAATCATTGAAGACTGAAAGAAAGAAAAAGGTCTTTTCCCTTTTCTTTAAGAAGCATCATTAGTTAAAAACATGTTAGTTGATACCAGAGAACTATATTTAAAGGGACAGCAATAAGCAAATTGATTACTCTGGTGATTATTGGAGTGACATTGCCCTTTAGTTGTACTTTCACAAAAATTCACAATATTTGCCAAAGTCAAGTTATCCATTACACTATTAATTTGTCATTCTTGTGTTTATATAGTCAATATCTCTATCTCAATTGGATCTATCTCAACTGCTTCTAAACAAGCCACCATAGTCTCTCCCATTTCAACAATCTCTTCCAAGTACCACTTCATTTCTTCTTTTCATATTTTTGAAAACTTTTGAAAAAGTACCTATTTTCCTCCTCCATTTCTTGTTCATTCCATTCTAGTGGACATGGAATCTGTTCCTCCTCCAAAACGGAATTTGGTAACCCTTAAATTACTAAACCCAAAACAATATGTTGTCTTTATCTTTACCTCTCTGTGGCATTTAATGATAAGACCACTACTTTCTTCTCTTTTACCCTTCTTTCTTGAATTCAGTCAAACAACGTACTTACATTTTTCGTCTTATTCTCCATCTTAGAAACCACCTCAGCTTTCTCCATTCAGCTATAAAATTGTGCTTTTCCTCAAAGATTAATCTGCCTCTCCTCTCACTCTATACTATCTCTGTTAGCTAATTTTATTTGTGCACATTGCTTATACTGGGCATTATATACACATATGCATGTGTGTACATGTGCACACACACACTGTATGTGGACATGTATATATATATGTGTGTGTGTATATATATAGTATATATATAAATTACAATAACATAAAGGTGGCATTTTAAATTAGTGGAAATTACCCTGATTTGATCACTACACATTCTATACATGTAAAGAAATATCACTCTGTATCCCAAGAATATGTACAATTATGGTTTGCCAAATGAAAAAGTTCATACATTGAAAAATTTTAGATAAATATCAAACTTTCTCTGAAACTGTAACTGTAAAATGTAAAAAACAGTAATTGCTATATTGCTTATTTTTGAGTAGAATATGAGACATTTCCCTAATCATTATGTGTAATTACAATTACATATATATGTTTATATATTACATACATATATATATGTAATTGTAATTACACATAATGATTAGGGAAATGTCTCATATTCTATATATATAGACAGAGAGAAAATATATGAGGGAGAGAAAGAATCTTTCCATCTCCTTTGAGTTCCACGGTGTTGAGAGTCAGGACAACTACAATTGCTTCATCATGCCTGCTTGCAATTATAGGGCTTTTGAACCATTTGTTCCCTCCTTAGATATCCTCATTTTTTTCAGATTCTTGCTTAGAAGTCACTCCTCCGTGGACCTCCTCTGACATATTAAACATTGCAGTCCATTATAAGCTGCAAGAGGACAGGGATTTTTGCCTGTTTTATTCCCTACTGTATCACCAGGGGCTACAGCAATATCTGACAAACAGTGGGCATGTAATGAATATTTGTTAAGTGAAGTAATAAATTCAATCAAATCACATCACCTGTTTAAGGCACTTCATTGGCTTCACATTGCACTTAGAATAAAGAGAAATTCTTTTTATACAATATAAGTTCCTGCAGAATGCAGACACTTTCTACTTCTCCAGCCTCTTTTCGACTCCTCTCCTACTGGCTTCTGTATTTAAGCCACATTAGACCTTTCTTCAGTTTTTCATATAGACTTTGTCGCATCACACCTCAGAGATTCTGTACATGTTCTTCCTCCTGCCTAGAAAGGGTCGTCCCTCCACTTTCGCCAACTAATCCCTGCTCAACTTTTCATCTCAGCAGGAGGCCCATTCTCTTTGGCAATCCTCTGGCCTCCAGCCCATTTATTATATGCTCACATGTCAACATGTACTTCGTACAGCATGTAACACAATTGCACTTTTATATTTTAACAAATTATATTTCCCATATTGAACTGTAAGTCTCCTGAAAGGTGGAATTTTGTTCTTGCTCATCATCAACTTTTTCAACATCCAGTGCACCATTTAGAACTTAGATGTAGTCAATACAGGTTTGTGGAATGAAAGAGGAAAAGAAAGAATTAATATTCCTTTAAATTAGGATGGCAAAGATCGTATATAGAAAATTGGCTAAGTTGTGGTCCATTCATGTTTGCTCCCAATTAAGGAGCACAGCTATGAAAAGGAAGGCTTCAAATTAATAACCAATAGATTTTTAAAAAAAGAAAACTGGCCGGGTACTGTGGCTTATGTCTGTAATATCAGCATGTTGGGAGGCCAAGGCAGGATTACTTGAGCCCAGAAATTCCAGACCAGCCTGAAAATTTGGCAAAACTCTGTCTCTACAAAAAATACAAAAATTAGCCAAGTTTGGTGGCATGTGCCTGTAGTACCAGCTACTTGGGAGGCTGAGGTGGAAGAATAGCTTGAGTCTGGGAGGTCAAGGCTGCAATGAGCTGTGATCGCACCACTGCACTCAAGCCTGGGTGGTAGAGTAAGACCCTGTCTCAAAAAAAAAAAAAAAAGAAAAATCACTAAGCAAAATAAGACATGTGAAGGATCATGTCAAAGGTAAGAAAAATTAGGGGAACATTAAAAGCTTTCTTCCCAAGCCACTAAATCAACTTGACTAACAAAATTACCACTTGATTTAGCATTAGAAAATTACATTACATATCAAACATAAACCCATTAATCAAATACTACAGAAATTTCCGAGTTAAATGGTATAATGTTAGCTTATGCCAGAGCTCACCTTGAAAGATTGTTCAAATATGGCTCAGTGTGATTGAAAGTTCTGTGTGAATATGTTTTTGGAAAGATCCAACAGCAACACCTTAGTGTATGTTTTTGAAATAAAATGTATCTGAGTAGCAGCAAAGTTATTCTCAAATTTCCATTTTATAGCTGGAGATGTTATACCGTGACATATACGACAGGACCTAATATGGATTAATCCCTTTTGGAAGTCAATCAGGAAGAGGGGAGCAGTTAAAACCGTTGCTTGGTTTACAAACATTAGAACAATTTTCTTATTCACGCCATCTGATTATTGTATTTTATTTTTTCCCCAACGTTTAGACTACACAATGAGTTAAGAACGACAAAAATAAGCTCACCAATATACTATGTACATATTTACCAAAATCTGTGCATGCCTATACATATAAACACAGCTGATAATTTATTAGTTAGGCTCATTTGTAATTTTTGTCACTATAGACCAGTTTTTTATTTAAATTGAAGATTAGTATACATTTTAAATGATTAGTCAAAATAAAAAATCTAAAATGTGCTCTAAATACCTCTTAGGTCAGAAAAAAAAAAGTCAAAAGCTAGAGTATAGAGAAATTAAGAAACGCCCTAAATTTCTAATCTGATAAAAATTCATACAAGATTTAAATATTTTAATGGAAAATAGAACAGAACTAATTATTGAAGAAATTATAGAAAGGAAACAAACAGATTATATGGAGGATTTTTAGAAGATAAGTAAATAAATTAATATACTAGGAAAAAACAAGGGAAATATAATTGATAAATAAATACAGGTAAGAGTTCTTTTGAAATAATGATTAAATAGAAAATCTCTGTCAAAACTAAAAGGAAAGATGCATAAATATATAAATAAATGATAAAACGATGTTGCATATGTATATAACTTTTTCAGAATCAAAAAATTTAAATTTCTGTAATAAAATTTAAATGTTTATAAATTTAAAAAACTGGAAGAAAGAATGTTGACTGTTCACAATACAAATAAATGACAAATATTTGAGGTGATGGATATGCTAATTATCCTTATTTGATCATTGGACATTGTATACATGTATCAAAATATCACTCTGTATCCCATGAATATGTACAATTATTTGTCTCAAAAACAAACAAACAAAAGATAATGGGAGAATGTTGAAAACTCAGAGAGAAGAGCAACTCTCACAGATAGGGATCCAGATAACATTAGCAGCTGATTTCTCGGCAGAAACCTTGAAGGCCAGTAGGCAGTGGATTATATATTTAAAATAATTAAGAAACCTGTCAATTGAGAAATCTATAGCTGGAAAACTTATCCTTCAAAAATGAGGGAGAAATTAAGACATTTCCGGATTTTTTTTTAAAACTGAAAAAAAATCCATTTATTCCTGAATTTGCCATTCAAGAAGTGTTAAGTCCTTCAGGTTGAAATAAATGAACTCTAGGCAATAACTATATAAGTAAATAAGCAAGGTGTATGAATATACAAAGCTCTCTGGTAAAGGTAAATACATAAACAAACATAAAAACAGTCCTATTGTAATTTGGTTTCTAACTCTGCTTTTTATTTTCTACATAATTTAAAAGGCAAATGCGTAAAATGTAATTGTAAATCTGTTAGCTGGTATACAATGAATAAAGATATAATTTGTTACATCAATAACATAAAAAGAGTAGAGCTATATGTATAGCAGTAGAATTTTGGTATGTGATTGAACTTAAGTTGAAATAAATTCAAATTAAAATGTTATAAATCTAGGATGTTATATGTAATTCTCATAGTAACCAAAAACGAAATATACATAGAATATAAACAAAAGGAAATGAGACTAGAAACAAAATGTGTCACTACAAAAAAATCAACTAAAGATAAAAAAGAAATAATTGAGAAAATGGCAAAAATCAGTAACTCTGACGTATTAAAACTTTCCATGCTACATACATCTGAAAACTCTATTTCACATAAAACTGGAGCTGAAAGAGACAAATATTTACCTATAAAGTTAAAAGTTATATAGGGAACAAACACTAATTTTTTTTAGAAAAAATTATAAAAAGAGTAAAAATATGCCTTATACTACCGTAATTTCATGTTTTACAGCTCTGGGAAAATAGAAAATAAAATGTTCTGTTAGCATGAATCCCTCTGTGCCCCCAAAAAGCCCTATGGATTGCATCATTATTACCTAAAAAGTCTATTCTCAAATGCAGCAGAGTGATATTTTTTACAAGGTAGATATTAATTTTAGATATGGAATAATATTGGTGATTTCAATTTTATAACACTGGGTTAAGATGAAAGAATGAGAAGATAAAGGTCCCTCAGCAATATAACTCACAAACATGTTCAGAAGCAGTAAGAAGTTACATTAATTATCTTTTGAAAGTCGATAATCTACATCTTTAATGTATGCATATAGCATAGCTAATGTACTATCGCTGGGTCCATTTATTCAATGAATAATTGCCGCTATGTGTCAGACATTTTTCTAGGCCTAGGAATGGATACACAAGTGAACAAAGCAAAGATTCTGGTTCTTGTAGAGTTTCCATTAAAAGACAATTTAGTAAAACTTTTCTTCCCCCAAATTATAAAATCTGTAAGATGATTTAACAACATGTGTAAAAGTCATTGTGGGCCAGGCACGGTGGCTCATACCAGGTGTGGTGACTCATAGCACTCTGTCACCCAGGCTGGAGTGCAGTGGCACAATCTCTGCTCACTGCAACCTCTGCCTCCTGGGTACAAGCGATTCTCCTGCCTCAGCTTTCTGAGTAGCAAGGACTACAGGTGCACACCATCACGCCTGGCTAATTTTTGTACTATTAGTACAGACGGAGTTTCACCATGTTGGCCAGGCTGGTCTCGAACTCCTGACCTCAAATGATCCATCTACCTCGGCCTCCCAAAGTGCTGGAATTACAGATGTGAGCCACAATGCCCGGCCTTATTTTCTACAACTTTGGTAACTTTAGCATATACCCCAAATCTGTAAGACATAATATTATAATTCAAATGCAACTCATGGCTTCTCATTGTACTCTTTCTCTAGCTTTTGAATTATTTATTCTAATACCAGTTTTAATTCTGACACAAAAGCATGGGAGTTCTAATCAAAATCCAACCTTTTATCATAAAAATTATGAAGAAATTATGAGTAGAACTTAAACAGGAAAATAGGCCTATTAATTAGATTTGTCTTTGTAGCATTTAACTCTATAATAAATAACATAATATTTTATGCCTATGAGTACCCAACAAAGCCTCCAGCGTCTATTTAGATATAAAATGTAAAAGTCACTACTGGATCCACAAGCAAGACTATGGTAAATAAATTTCTCCACCTAACCAGCTTCTTTTACATGATGTTACATGTTTCTTTTGTTTTTTCATTTTGGCAAATATTGATTGTCATCTTCTTGTTTGTCTATGTCCTAAGTGCTGGGATACAGAATCTGAAAAGATGGACACAGGACCTGCCTTCAAGTTCACCTTTTTTTTTTTTTTTTTTTTTTTTTGAGATGGAGTTTTGCTCTTGTCACCCAGGCTGGAGTGTAATGGTGAGATCTCGGCTCACTGCAACCTCCACCTCCAGGGTTCAAGTGATTCTCCTGCCTCAGCCTCCCAAGTAGCTGGGATTACAGGTCCCAGCCACCACGCCTAGCTAATTTTTGTATTTTTAGTAGAGATAGCGTTTCATCATCTTGGTCAGGCTGGTCTCGAACTCCTGACCTCAGGTAGTCGACCCACCTCGGCCTCCCACAGTGCTGAGATTACAGGCATGAGCCACCACGCCCTGCTAGGAGTTCACGCTTTAGTTGGGGAAAATATACAATAAGCAAGCCAATTTTTAAAAAGAGAACTGCAATTAGAGTTAAATGCTACAAAGACAATCTCACAGGAAGATGGGATGTAGAATGATAAGGCTCTCAGAATAGTAAGAGAAACTATTGCTTCTTACGATGTTTGTCTTTCTTTGTATCAGTGCTCAGCTGAGTCTGCAGTGCTTCAGAGGCAGCTTTCATTTTATAAAAATCTATGATTTCTCCTTCCAGTTGTTTTTTCTCTTCCTCAAGCTTCCTTATCTCCTCCTGTTGAATCATTTTAAGATGCTCGAATTTGTCCTGCAGCTGTGAAACCAATGTGCAGTTGTGACACCAAAGCAGTGTGGCTGAACACCCAAAAGAATATGCTTTTTTCTGATTATCAAACAAACCCAAATCATCACAGTAGAGCACGATCTTAATAACAATCTCAAAAACTCAGGAGTAAACACTCAGATATGGAATTTTTCTTTTCTTTCTTTTTTCCTTTTATAAGATGGAGTCTCACTCTGTTGCCCAGGCTGGAGTGCACTGGTGCAATCTCAGCTCGCTGCAACCTCCATCTCCCAGTTCAAGTGATTCTCCTGCCTCAGCCTCTTGAGTAGCTGGGACTACAGGCATGCACCACCACTACAGGTGTGTGCCACCACACCTGGCTAATTTTTGTATTTTTAGTAGAGATGCGGTTTTGCCATGTTGGCCAGGCTGGTCTCGAACTCCTGACCTCAGGTGATCCTCCCGCTTTGGCCTCCCAAAGACTTTTTTTTTTTTTTTAATATACAGACAAGTTCTCAGTATGTTGCCCAGGCTGGTCTCAAACTCCTGAGCTCAAGTGATCCTCCCACCTCAGCTTCCCAAAGTGCTGGGACTGACTGGATGCAGTGGCTCATGCTTGTAAACTCAGCACTTTGGGAGGCCAAGGTGGGAGGATCGCTTGAGCCCAGGAGTTCAAGACCAGACTGGGTGATATAACACAATAGTAAACTTCAACAGGAGAGAGAATCTGTAAACTTGAATATAGATCTTCTGAAATTATCCAGTCAGAGGACAAAGAAAAAAAGAATAAAAAAGAGAAAAGAAGGCTGGGCGTGGTGGCTCAAGCCTGTAATCCCAACACTTTGGGAGGCCGAGGCAGGCAGATTAAGAGGTCAGAAGTTCAAGACCAGCCTGGCCAACATGACAAAACCCCATCTCTACTAAAAATACAAAAATTAGCCGGGTGTGGTGGCACACACCTGTAGTCCCAGCTACTTGGGAGGCTGAGGCAGGAGAATCACTTGAACCCAGGAGGCGGAGGTTGGAGTGCAATGTGAGCCGAGACCACACATTGCACTCCAGCCTGGGTGACAGAGCATGACTCTGTCTCAAAAAAAAAAAAAAAAAAAAAAAGAGACAGAGAAAAGAAAGCCAACAAGACACCATTAGGCAAACCATTGTCAGGTTATGGGAGTTTGAGAAGGAAAGTAGAGAAAGGAGAAGAAAGCTTATTTAAAGAATGGCTGAAAACTGCCTAAATCATGGGAAAGATTTAGACATCTAAATCCATGAAGCTTAAAGATTCCTAAAGAGGTTCAAACCAAATAGATACTCACCAAGTCACAATATAATCAAATAGTCAAAAGTTAAAGAAACTTTGCAGGTCAGGACAGAATCGAATAATACATTCAAAGTGCTGAAAGAAAAAAACTGCCAGCAACTAATACTATGTCTGACAAAGCTGTCCTTCAGAAAGAAAAAAGAAATAACGTGTTTCCTCGACAAACAAAGCTGAGGGCATTCAGGACCACTAGGTCTACCTTAAAAAAATGCTTAACGGAGTTTTTCAAGTAAAAAGGAATGAAGTTGGGAGCGGTGGCTCATGCCTGTAATCCCATTTTGGGAGGCTGAGGTGGGTGGATCACCTGAGGTCGGGAGGTCAAGACCAGCCTGGCCAACATGGCAAAACCCCACCTCCAGTAAAAATACAAAAAATTAGCCAGGTATGAAGGCCACTGAGATCGTGCCACTGCACTCCAGCCTGGGTGACAAGAGTCAAACTACATTTCAAAAACAAAAAACAAAACAAACAAAAAAAACAAAACTTGAGGCCTGGCCTTCTGCTCCTCTCCAACCTCCCCTTCTCTGGGCCCAAGCCACCTTGGCTGAGGAGGGGGCGAGGAGGTGTGAGCCCCTGCCAGGAACCCCCTGCCCGGACCAAGTACTCGGCCCCCAGGCCTGCGTTCAGTGAGGCCTCCCGTGGCGTCAGCATGTTCGTGTGGAGGAATGTGGAAGGTCACTCTGCGGCTGTGTTCCCCTGGTACTCCATCCCCTTCCTGACCCCTCCCTGCAGCCACACGAGGCCCAGCAACCTGCCAGTCACTCAGTGGCCTGCAACCAGAGAAAACAACCTGCCAAGTTGCCAGCTGTTGCTCATGAGCGTCCACCAGGTGGGACAGGGAGTGTTGACCCTGGGCGGCCCCCTGGAGCCACCTGCCCTGAAAGCCCAGGGCCCGCAACCCCACACACTTTGGGGGTGGTGGAACCTGGTAAAAGCTCACCTCCCACCATGGAGGAGGAGCCCTGGGCCCCTCAGGGGAGTCCCTGCTGGACAGTGAGACAGAGAATGACCATGATGATGCTTTCCTCTCCATCATGTCTCCTGACACCCAGTTGCCTCTACCACTCAGATGATGTCAGGCCCAGTCCCTCAGTGCCCTGCGCAAGGAACAGGACTCATCTTCTGAGAAGGATGGACGCAGCCCCAACAAATGGGACAAGGACCACATCTGGTGGCCCATGAGTGGCGCTCATGATCTTCAGCAAGCGGCACCAGGCCCTGGCGGGGCGCACCAGGGTCACCCCAACCAGGATAACCGGACCGTCAGCCAGATGCTGAGCGAGCGGTGGTACACCCTGGGGCCCAGTGAGATGCAGAAATACGACCTGGCCTTCCAGGTGAAGGTGGCCCACTTGCAACAAGGACCGAAAGAAGTCCAGCTCAGAGGCCAAGCCCACAAGCCAGGGGCTAGCAGCAGTGTAACAAGGGCTCGTGGGAGCGGAGCATATCAGAGACGGGCACTGCCACTGCCCCTGGGGCGTCCTCTGAACTCCTGTCAGTTGCAGCCCAAACACTCCAGAGCTCGGATGCCAAGGAGCAGCTTCTGTGGGGCAGAACGGCTGCACACAGTCAGGGAACCTGGCTCAGCCTGGCCCAAGCCTTCTCCCACAGCGGGGTACACAGCCTGGACGGCAGGGAAATAGACCGTCAGGCACTACGGGAACTGACACAGGTGGTGTCTGGCACTGCATCATACTCTGGCCCAAAGCCTTCTACTCAGCATGGAGCTCCAGGCCACTTTGCAGCCCCTGGTGAGGGAGGTGACCCGTGGGCAGCCCTGCTGCTGCCCACCTGAGCTGCTCATTCCCAGCACATGGCCAGTGAGGACACAGCGAGTGACGAGGAGCACACGGTCATCCATGAGGAGGAGGGGGTGATGATGTCATTGCTGATGATGGCTTTAGCACCACCGACACCGATCTCAAGTTCAAGGAGTGGGTGACCGACTGAGAGTGGGGACAGCTCTGGGGAGGAGCCAGAGGGCAACAAGGGCTTTGGTGGGAAGGTATTTGCACCTGTCATTCCTTCCTCCTTTACTCCTGCCGCCCCTTGCTGGATCCTGAGCCCCCAGCGTCCCCCGATCCACCTGCAGCTTTTGGCAGTCTATGGTCACACCCTGTCCTCCTCCTACACATACTCGGATGCTTCCTCCTCAACCTTGGCGCCCACCTCCTTCTTACTGGGCCCAGGAGCCTTCAAAGCCCAGGAGTCTGGTCAACGCAGCAGAGCGGGCCCCCTACGGCCCCAACCCCTGGGGATGGGGGCCCAGGGACGCCTTCCAAGGTGGCCTGTTTCCTCCCAATGGATCCTGCCACCTTCTGGTGCAAGAGACCTGAAAGTGTGGGCGACCTGGAGCTACCAGGCTCCTCAGTCATCAGGGTCCCTCCCAACACTAAGGCTTTCCTAGGCAGGAGCTGGGCTGAGCCACCCGGGGAGCAGAGCCTGAAGAGAAACTGACTGGGCTTTAGGGGTCGGGGCAGAGGGAACCCCACGGACATGGATCCCACACTGGAGGACCCCACCACGCCCAAATGCAAGATGAGAAGATGTTCCAGCTGCAGTCCAAAGCCCAACACCCCCAAGTGTGCCATGTGTGATGGGGACAGCTTCCCCTTTGCCTGTACAGGTGGAGAAGCCGAGGACAGGCTCAGGGAACCGGAGACCGAGAAGGAGCTGTCCTCTTCACTGCACGTGCCCTGGACCAGTGCCGGCCCTGATCATGCAGCTCTTCCAGGCCCACTGCTTCTTCCTGTCCACTAGGCCACAGCCGCCCTCCAGGCCCACTATGCACACATCTTCCCCTCCAAGGTTTGTTCTGCCCCTGCCCTGACTCCCAGCCCTGTGGGGGTCCTGACCGCACCTCACCTGGCTCAGACTCTTGACGCTGCCCTGGCTGCCCCACCACTGCCTCTGCCCGAGAGTCACGTGAGGCTGAGAGTAGGGGCAGGGGCAGCAGTGGTGCCAGTTGGGGGGCGGTCCAGTGGGAGGAGCCTCAGCCTCGCGGGCTGCTCCGTGGGACTGATGACTGCATGATCTTCTGGGCACCTCACGGATCTTCAACTGCAGGTGAAACGGATGCTGGTGGTGGGTGCAGGGCCGCTGGGAGCTGCTGCATGGTTCCCAGAGGCTGGACTGGGGCAGGTGCCAACTGAAGCTGCTGGGTCAGCATGGGCAGGATGTTCTGCACACAAACCTTGGAGAAGAAGATGTGTGCATAGCGGGTCCACTGCTGCTGCCCCTGCCCTGACTCCCAGCCCTGCCTGACCCCACCTCAACCTGCTCAGGCTCTGGCACAAACCTGGCTGCCCTGCCACTGCCTCTGCCCCAGAGTTGGGGCCTTGACAGCCTGGTTGGAAGGGGACACCCCAGCCCTGCCTCAACACCTGGGGGTCTCCATAACTACCACAGGCAGGTGGGCAACCCCAAAGATCCCAGGACTCACAGTACCCCCTGAGAACATGGACAGTATGTGGGGGTAGCAATGGAGGGCAGGATGGTTATCTTCTCCCAGGTGAAGCCATTTAATCCTTTCAGTTTGGGACGGAGTAAGGCCTTCCTCTTTTTTTTTTTTTTTTTTTTTTTGAGACCGAGTCTTGCTCTGTCGCCCAGGCTGGAGTGCAGTGGTGCGATCTTGGCTCACTGCAACCTCTTCCCGCCGGGTTCACGCCATTCTCCTGCCTCAGCCTTCCGGGTAGCTAGGATTACAGGTAGACGCTACCACGTCCGGCTAATTTTTGTATTTTTAGTACAGACGGGGCTTCATCATCTTGGCCAGGCTGATTTCGATCTCCTGACGTCGTGATCTGCCTGCCTCCCCCTCCCAAAGTGCTGGGATTACAGGCGTGAGCCACCACGCCTGGCCAAGGCCTGCTCCTCTTATCTATACCCCCTAACCCTGCAGCTGTGCCGGGGGAAAGCTGGGCAATTTCCCTCCTCCGAGCCCCTGTACATACCATGAATTGTGGGACCTTCAGAGCTTTTCACTTTTCGGAAAATAGCTCCTGCTGGGGCTACAAGATGGAGTGTGAAGAGGGCCTTGGGCCACAGGGAGGCGCCTGTGGACTAGGGGGAGTTCATGCACCCCTTCTTTCCCCAGAGGGGCTGGACTCAGGTGAGTATGGGGGTGGGGGCTCCTGCACTTCGACACAGGCAGCGGGAGGGTTTTCTCCCCATTCCCTCTGCACTCCCAACTTGAGCTATACTTTTTAAGAAAGTGATTCACCCTGCCTTTGCCCCCTTCCCCAGAACAGAACACGTTGATCATGGGCGATATTTTTCATTGTGCCAAAAAGTTGCCATGACCGTCATTAAACCTGTTTAACACCAAATAATAAGGAAAATAAAATAAAAAATTCGGGCATGGGCAGAAACTCACTCCAAATAAATTACCTACCAAAATATATAATGGTGGAAATATTCCAAAATTCAATATTTTGGGATTTATACACAAAAGATAAACAAATTAGAGGCCAAGAGGCTGCCGGAAGGGAAAAACGGGGCCTGGAATGGCCGACGTGAGGAATGAGCTGGGCCTAAAGAGGCCACTGGCAGGCAGGAGCTGGACCTGCCGAAGTGGCCGAAAGGCAGGAGCTTTGGACTGGGGAGGCCTCAGTGAGGCGAGAGCTAGCTGGGCGTGGAGAGTCCGCTGTGAGGCCAAGGCCGAGGCCAGGCCCGTGCAGGCCTTCGAGAGGCAGGAGGCCGGGCCTGCAAAGGCCGACTGGAGATCAAGTTCTGCGCCTGAAGAGGCTGCCAAAAGTCAAAAGCGGGGCCTGGGAAGGCCGCCGAGAGCCATGAGCTGGGCTGGGCCGAAAGAGGCCACTGGGAGGCAGGAGGAGCTGGGCCCGGAGAGGCTGCCAAAAGGCAGGAGCTTCGCCTGAGGATGCCACAGTGAGACACCATCTGGGTCTGGAGGGTCCACTGTGAGGCAGAGGCTGGCCTGTAGAGTCCGACAGTAGACAGAAGTTGGGCAAAAGGCTGATTTGAGGAAGTTTTGGGCTTCAACAGTCAGCCACGAGGCAGACACTAGGCCTGGAAATAGCCCGACAGTCATGAGTTGGGCCTAAATGGGCCACTATGAGGGAGGAGCTGTGCCTGTTGAGGCTCCTCCAAAAGGTCATCTGTACACACACAGTAAAAATCTGGGAGTAACTGAAGACAGAGTTGGTAAGTAAAATAAGAAACAGTTATAAGAAATTAAACTATGGTATCCATAGGCACCCGGTAAAAGGTCAGTTGATGTTAGCTGCTACTTTTTTGTTGTTTAGAGACAGGGTCTCACTCTGTCACCCAGGCTGGAGTGCAGAGGCCTGATCATGACTCACTGCAGTCTCAGCCTCCCTGGGCTCAAGTGATCCTCCCACCTCAGCCTCCCAAGTAGCTGGGACTACAGGAACATGCCACCACACTAGGCTAATTCATGTATTTTTCTATAGGGATGGTGACTCCCTTTGTTTCCAAGGCCTATCGCAAACTCTTGGCCTCAAGCCATCCTCCTGCCTCAGCCTCCCAAAGTGTTGCGATTACCAGTGTGAGCCACCACACCTGGCCAGCTGCTACTTTTATCAATATTATTATTATTCCACTCAATTAAAAATTATTATTTTCAAGGCTATGCAACAGTATGTATCCTACAGCGTAATTGTAAAAACATATACAGTCGTCATCCCTCAGTATACAGAATTAGTTCCAGCCCCCCATCTCTGCATATACCAAAATCCATGCTTACTCACGTTTCGCTGTCACCCCTCTAGAATCCACGTATACGAAAATTCCAAATGTTAGTTGGGCATAGTGGCAAGCACCTGTAGTCTCAGCCACGTAGGAGATTGAGATGGGAGGATCGCTTCAGCCTGGAAGGTTGAGGCTGCAGTCAGCTGTGATAGCACTACCACACTCCAGCCTTGGACAAAAGAGGGAGACCCTGTCTCAGAAAAAAAACAAAATAAAACAGGTTAGAAATTGTAATCTAACCCTAAGCCTAACCCTAACCCTAACCACTAAGCCTAACCCCTAACCCCTACACTAACCCTAACGGTAACCCCTAACCCTAACCCCTAACTCCAAACCCTAACCCTAACCCCAAAACCTAACCCTAACCCTAACCCCAAACCCAACCCCAACCCGAACCCCGAACCTGAACCCTAACCCTAACCCCTAACCCTAACTCCTAACCCTAACCCCTAACCCTAACCCTAACCAATAACCCTAACCCTAACCCTAACCCTAACCCTAACCCTAAACCCTAACCCTAACCCTAACCCTAACCCCTAATCCTAACCCTAACCCTACCCTAACCCCTAACCCTAACCCTAACCCTGATTATTCAGGGCTGCAAACAGAAAGGATTTTGTTCACCGTCGATGCTGCCCTGAGTTGTCCCAAAGCGAGGCCGTGCCCCCAAGGTGTGTGCTGAGAAAGCTGCTCCGCGTTTTTGGTGTCCCCCGGGTCTGTGTTAAGCAGAACGCAGCTCTGCCCCCGCAAAGGCACCCCGCGCCGGCGCGGGCACGCACAGACTGACGCGACGTGCGCGCGGGAGGCGCGGTGGATGCGCAGAGAGCACGCCGCCGGGCGGGGGTTGGGGTGGCGTGGTGCAGGAGCACAGTCGCACGCCCCTGTGCTGGGGGTGGGGCGCGGTGCAGGCGCGGAGACGGGTGGAACCTCAGTAATTCGAAAAGCCGGGCTCGACCGCCCCCTGCTTGCAGCTGGGCACTACAGGACCCGCTTGGTCACGGTGCTGTGCCAGTGCGCCCCCTGCTGGCGACTAGGGCAGCTGCAGGGCTCTGTTGCTTATAGTGGTGGCCAGCGCCCCCTGCTGGCGCCGGGGCAATGCAGGGCCCTCTTGCTCACAGTATAGCGGCTGCACGCCGCCTGGTGGCAGCTAGGGACATTGCAGGGTCCTCTTGCTCACAGTGTGGTGGCAGCACACCCCCCTGCTGGCAGCTGGGGACACTGCCGGGCCCTCTTGCTTGCAGTGCAGTGGGGGCACGCCCTCTTCTGGCCCCTGGGGGCACTACAGGAACCTCTCGCTCACAGTGTAGTGGCAGCACGCCCCCTGTTGGCAACCAGGGCACTGCGGGGTCCTCTTGCTCATGGTGTGGTGCCCGTATGACACCTGCTGGCAGCTAAGGACACTGCAGGGCCCTGTTGCTCACAGTGTAGTCGTCGTACGCCACCTGCTGGCAGCTGGAGACACTGCCTGGCCCTCTTGGTGGCAGTGTCGAGGCAGCACGCCACCTGCAGGCAGATGGGGACTAGGCAGGGCTCTCTTGCTCCCAGTGTGACGGTTGGCGTCCCCTACTGGCTGCCTCCTGCACCACTTAAAGTCAGAGCATCAGTTTTTAAGCCCCATCAGTTCTGTAAATTCAACTGAAACGGAGCTAGTACTAGGGAGAGCTGATGTCCCAGTTCTTGTCTAACTTGGAAGAAAGATTTTCACCAAGAGGCAGTACAAAAATGGGAGACAACTTCATTGAAAAGAAATACAGTGTAAAGAGCTCATTGTAGAAAAATAGGGAGGAGTGGGCTGATCGTGCATGAAAACATCCTAGGAGTCCTGTGCAGGGAATTTTATTTTGGACTTCTTCACATTCCTGCCTCTGTCTCAAGTCTCCACCTGTTCTCTTTGTCTGGTTTTCCTGCTACTGCCTTAGGTCCCCGACTTGCCACACTTAGGCTTGTGGGACCTCCTCACTGTTGGTTGAGGTACATGTGTGGTGATCAATCCGAATCCACTCTGGCACCAGCCTCCTTCCCGCCATCCCAGGCAGGCTGACAGCGGTCACGTTTGTACCCAGTGTGCCTGCCTATCTCTTTTGAATGTCCTTCTTTGCCCTAATCTGCACTTAGGGTGCCAGGTTTCTCTTAAGAATGTCCCCTTTGTCCTTCTTATCAGCATGTAGCTACCAATATTCTGACATTTTTATTGCAGAGTGAATGATGGTTGGGGCATCTTAAAGAGAGTTCTAGGGTTTTTCTTTCTGCATAGGTACCTCTTCGCACTCCTACCCACAACTGACAAGTGCCCATCCACTCCAGCACTAGAGATGCTACTAATATGTGCATTTTTGGTGGTCCCTCCAGGTGAGCCTTCTCAGACTTTCCCTTTTCCAGGAGCTCCCCCTCCTGTTCATGTCTAGCTATCTATCTCCTCTAACAGAGCCCACTATCCTGTGTGTTTCCCAAAAATAGTGATGGAAGGATTAATTGGAAACCATAGGAAATGATATGCATGTAGATGAAAACTTTACAACTTACACAAATAATCACTCAAAATCATCCTTACACTAAAAATGCAAAACTATACCATTTCTAGAAGAATCTATAGAAGAAAAGCTATGTGCCTTTGGGTTTGGTAATGAATTTTAACAAATGACACAAAAGGTTGATATACACAGAAGAAATGACAATGTGGATTTCTTAATATTTAAAGTTTATACTCTGGAGAAGACCTTGTTAAGATAACAAAAAGACAAGCCACATATTGAAGAAAATATTTGCAAAATACAGATCTGAGAATTTGTATTCAAAATATATTTAAAAATTCTTAAAACTAAACAAT
Source organism: Homo sapiens (assembly GCF_000001405.40). Lineage (NCBI taxonomy): Eukaryota > Metazoa > Chordata > Mammalia > Primates > Hominidae > Homo > Homo sapiens. The sequence goes on from NC_000006.12 coordinate 150,228, forward strand.
AAGTTAAACAGCCCAATTAAAAAGGCACACAGATCTCAACAGACATCTTACCAAGGAAGATCTACAGATGGCAGGTAAACATACAAAAACATGCTCAACATGCTAGAGAACTGAAAACCACAATGAGATAGCACAGCTGGTCTGCATCTCTTAGAACTGCTAAACTCTTTAAAAAATGACAAATTGCTGGAGGAAAAACAAGAACTCTTTTCATTGCCGGTGGAACACAGTGTATAAGACCAAAATATGCCACCCCAAAATATAATGGTAGGAAACCAGAATATGCCACCCCAAAATATGTCCCTTTTGCTTAAGAATTATTCCAAGCTGATTATTTTGAAAAAAAAAAATGCTAACAAAGGAAGTTCTGAAAACAGAGTAGAAGTTACCCTTGTGTAAGGGAAATTTACATCTATAAAGGAAATCCCCATTCAAAAGCTACCTCTCTCAACACCAAGAAGAGAAGGATAACTAAATCACTAAAGAGTCTTATCAATGGAGACTGCATGGACTTAAGTCTGTATAACAAACCTTACCCTTGTCTACTGTGCTTTTGCTGGCTAACTCCCCACTACTGCACCTCAAATCTTCTTTCTTTAAGTTCAACATAGTATTTATGCTTGAATTGAAAGCCACCTGTTGGAGATTTACTCATTTTGCCCTGAGTATCTCCCATGTATCCATAAGGTATACATGTTTTTAAACTTTTCTGTTTTTCTCATTTTAATCTGTCAGTTTTTACAGAGGGTCCCATCTCAGAATTCCAAAAACATAGAAAATTATTTTTCCTCCCCTATTACAAGTTGGGCACTTTTTTCCAAAGCTAAACAAGTTTCACCTTACAATCCAAAAATCACATTCCTAAGTATTTTGACAACTACTTTGATGCTATTTCCAAACAAAAGCTACCATGCAATTATTTACAGAAGCCTTATTCATAATGAACAAAGGAAAAAAAAGGAATCAGAAAGTCTTACAATAGATGACTGTGTGGGAATCCACTCAGACATCAAAAGTTGTTATAAAGATTATTTAAATGAAAGCATTTGAGATACTGAAGATAAAGGAAGAAATCTTAGCAGAACTTACTTTATCCAGTTAAAGCAGAGCTCCCAGAAAAATACAGCTGCCATTAACCCCATCCAAGGAGTTTCTTGCAAATTCAGCTGCCATGAAGACAGCGTACTCTTTCCCATTAGCAATGATAAATGAAAATGAAATCCTAAGCTCCCAACTGACTGAACAGACCCACTCTTGGCTGAGGGGACCCAAGAGTAAATTTCAAAACTGAGTTCTCAGCTTTGCTAGCATTTGAGATTGTGATGGTTGAATAAACTAATTAAGAGCCCAAAATGAAGGCTTGGAATAAATAACTGAGGGTGTCTAATATCCCAGTTTTTCATCCTAGAATGGGCAGAGTCCTTGACCCCATTCTAGGGAGACTTCCAAAAGAAAAAAGACCTGCATTTCTTCAACAACCCACATTGAGAGACTTTCTTGCACTTTTGACCTGTGGCTAACACTCCTCACCTTTCATTCTGTCATCAGTGTTTTGGGGAAACACCTTTAACTCTCTATGATTCACAGGTTATTAAGTGGTCCTTATAATTCCCTCCAGAGATGCAAAAGACTAATGATGGTGTCTGAGCTCACAGCAGCAAGCAGGCGTGTGTGCACAGCAGCCACGTGGCTCATCTGCTAGGAGCTTACTAAATACGATGTTCTACAACATTGTTTAACGCAAGGGGAGACGCTCCTACTCAGAGGGTTTAATTGCTCACCTACTTCTTTTTCTGCCTTCTTGGGCTCCTAAAATGAAAAAAAACCCTGGAGTGATAAAGTGAATCAAAGGGGTACCAGCTGCATCACAGCAAAATAGATTCCTAAAAAATCCCTGGCCTAAGATGACAGCCTTGGCTGGATAAGCTTGAATGTGCTGATAGTGGACATGGTAGAATGAAGGTGGTTGAAATGTTCATATTAAAGAACTTCCACCCAGATTGCAAGAAAAGAGAGAGGAATGGAGATGGCAGCACAAGCCCCTACAATAAAAGCAGATGTTTTGAGATCAGTTATATTTGTCCTGAAAAAAATAAAAACAGAAACCAAAGTTTAGCCTGAGGCTACAATTAATTGGGCAATAAGCCAGAGGCATATATGGCATAGACAGACTTAAACATTTCTCCCTTGTATTAATACAAATACTAAAATTACAAATAAACTGATTCCAAATAAAACAAATACTTTAAAAATTTAATGAATAAACACTGGAGTCTACAGTAGCATTTGAAGGAGATCTCACAAACAGGTTTGGTTTCTGAAGGTTAGAACTGATGGTCTAGAGAATTCATTTCATTCCAGAGACAGAAAGAGAGGAATTTCTTAGGCTCCTTCAGGAATGCGTCTGGCTTTGCATCATCTTTGTATGTTTGAACTATGCATATGGCGTAAGAAAACAGGATTTCACAGATTTAAGGTGCGAAAAGTCACTGGGTTCTCTTAAGAAGTCTGGGATTATTCTGCTGGAAAAATAAGTTTGTTGAGAAAAAATGAGTTGGAGGAGGCTGTTATTGAAGTGAAGCAGAATTGTTTTTACTAATCTGCTTATTACCCACTCTGTAGTGTGGAAACAAATTATTCATGCACAAGGTCCTCTCACTGTTCCTGGAATGCAGTGGAAAGAGAACAGATTAGTTTTTCCTCCTTCAGAACACAACCACTAGAAACATCCTACCTCAGATGAGATATTCCCTAATTATTTTCAAAAGACAGTGAAAAACGATGGATGTAAATGTTTGCTACAAAATAAATACATGGTAGAAACAGAAGCATCTGGGTCACAGCTATATTAGAGCTACCTGTGTTCCCCTGTCACTGAGATTAAAACAAAAATGTCCAATACAATCATTCACAGCATGGGAGAGGGGAAGTTGAAGGGTTAGGAAACGCCAGTCATAAAAGGATTTCAGAATTTCAGTCCATAAGGAAGTGGTTTTGTGCATTGTCTGTTCTTGTGTGCAAGGTGAAGTCTGGAGAACAGAAACGTGCAGTAACAAGGGCTCCTTTGTCCATATCACCTCTCTAGATATCAAGTTTCAGACATGTTGCATTTTAATTGAAAGGTTGATATAATTTTTTGAAAAAGAAAACTTGTGGTGTTTGAAGTGACAAAGACTGCTGTGACAAAAAAGCAGGGAAAGGGAATTTTTTTTAAAAAAGCAAACAACAACAACAAAAACCCACAAAAAAGCAAACAGCAAACAAACAAAAAACAGGGGAAGAAGTCGAAACACCCTGGGTTGTGACTACTTCCAGGAAGGGGCTACAAGAGGCAGTTGGAAATTCTATTTGCTTTGCAACTGTGAGTTTTCCAGCCTGCTCCCTTTCTAAAGTATATTACTCTGCTTTTGGTTCATGAAGTTATCCATTTCTGTTTTCTGGAACAGCTATGTATTTTCTTTATCTATCATCTATCTATCTATTTACCATCTATCTTTTCTACCTTTCGCTATCAAGAGCTTGGGTCAAGCAGGATAGAATTCCAGTGTATGTTCACTCTACCATTTAAAACAAGAGCTCTTGTAGGCATTCTCCATCACATCATAAACCTGAGCTTTCTAAAACAGGGTGTGGCAAACTACCATGCATGGGCCAGGTCTGACACAGTCTGCGTTTGTAAGTAAAGTTGTAATGGGACACAGCCACATACATGTGTTATACAATGTCTCTGGCTACTTTCATGGTATAATGGAAGAGCTGAGTCATTGAGAGAGGGACAACATGGCTTGGAAAACTTGAAATATTTAACATTTAGCCCTTTGCAGAAAATATTTGCTGACTCTTGTTTTAGAAGATCTCTCTTTAGAATGCTACCTATTGCCTTCTGGATAGAATCACAACTCTTTACCACAATCAACACACAGCCCTGCTTTTATTATTTCCACTCCTCCTCCTTATTTTCCTTCTGACAATGCCGATGGATTGTCAGCTTCCCAGATGTGCAAGAATCTCTCCTCCCTTCCCGACATTCTCATGCTCTCCCTCTGCCTCTCAAGAACTTCCTGTCCCATCTCTCATGACAAATCTCTTCTTCATTCTTTAAGATGCAGCCCCTTTGCTCCTTCCTTAAGGATGTCTGTCTGGCTTTATTTTGGGTGACATGCTCCTTCTGCATCTCCCAGAGCCAGCCTCTGTGTGTCAGCTACAGCATTTCTTTGCATCTCTGTGTCATATATCATCAAATCTGCCTAAGCTTGAGTGAGTCACTGCATGACAACTTCAGACTCCACCAGCATTGTCTGCACTAACAACGAGGCTTAGAGATTTGTCCAGTATGCTCGGGGTTGTGGGGTGGTAGCAGTAACCAGCTGGTGAGCATCATCTCTTACATCAGAATGAAATCTGTAGATCTCTGCCATTCATAAGTATTTGGAGCTTAAAATTAGCATAAAGATTTTCCTTAAGAACAAATGGCTTGAGTAGGCTTTTGGAACGTAGGATATTTCTGCTCGTTCATTTCAGCGTTCAGTATTCCCACATGAATCTAAACACGGCTCTGCTCTTAGTAACTGTGCGACCCTGGGAAAGTCACTCAATCTCCCTCAGCTAAATTTTGTTGTGTGAGTAATGAGAAGAGAGTTGTGGTTTGTATTTAGTGAGTAATAACAAGCAAAAGGCATTTAGCTTTCTGGAACCTGGTATGTAGTAGATCCTCATGAAATACTAGCTCTGTTGATAAAACTAGACTGAAAGAAGCTTTCAAAGTCAACAACAGTATCATGTAGTGACGGACGTAGATGAGAAGCTGCTGCTGCAGCTTGCAGCTCCTGGAGGCCAGTTTTGTCCATGACTTAGCAGGAATGCACTACCTTTCCATGAGGAGACACTGCCCAAAGAAACCAAGGCCATTCTTTGAGGACAAATATGTTTTAATAGCTTTTATATTATGTAATAGTGTAATACAAATACTAATTTATTAATCATAATGTGAAATTATTTACATTGTTATGTTAAGACTTTTGTACAGAAATTTACACCTAGATATTCTGAAGTTGGTGGTCTGTGAGTGGCATCGAGTGATGACTGACACATTCTGACCTGGGGTAGAACAACACGTGTCCCTGCAGTTTGCTGAATTTCAGGGCATCACCACCTTTTTTCAAGAGTGTGTTTTCCTATCCTCTAGAGTTTTGCCCACTTAAGCAATGGCTTTGCTGTAATAAAGAATTACACTATTTATCAAAATATTACTTTGGAGAATACTGGTTCACATAGTTCACTTTCAAGTTTTCTTAAACTATCAGGCCCATAGCTAATGCCAGTGGCTCCAAGGATGAGAAGGTAAAAAGGTCTTTTTTTTTTTTTTTTTTTTTTTTGGCCAAGACAAAAAAACTCCACATTTCAAACTTTACTGTCTCATGCTAGTCCCTGGAAAATTAGAAGTGAACACACTCCCCTCCCAGCCCAATCACAGCTAATGAATAACCAAGATCTCCTGCAGGTGCCTTTGCCTTGGGTTTGTGAGCCTGGAGTTGCTGGTTGGCACTGGGCAGCAGGCAGCAGAGCTGGTCCCATTTCTCCATGCTTTTCCAACTCTGTAGGGGACACAGGCACATTGAACAAACTAGGTCCTGGCCTGGCACTGGCTGGGAAGCTATTTGATGTCAGGCTCAATGTGGACTTCTGAGTTGAAAAGAGAGTATGGGTCACCCAGCCCCACTTACTCATTTTACCAAGAATGAAAATGGGGATCTATTTCAGACATGAGATTACACATTGTAAGACTGTGCAAGCTTGCCACACTTGTATCCGCTCAGCACACACTTTCTGAGTGCCGAGTGTCTCCAGCAGGAGAGGGGCTCTAGTTCCCGGGATCCCACCCTCCACAGAGGACAGCAGCACCTTGAGGGACAGATGTGCAAAGGGCAAGGTGGGGGCCCTTCTGCTGGAGAGGCAGCTGGGGAGGTCCTTAGAGGAAGTGACACCTGAGCTCTTCTCTGAAGGGTGAAGCTGAATTACTTGAAGCTTAGGGTGAAGGGGTGTCCAGGGAAGTGGAGCCTGTGAGCCGAAAGCAAAATGACTTGTCCAGAGAAGTGTAACAAGTTCCATATTGTTTCAGTGCCAAATCTGCACAGGAGTCACCAAACGAAAGAGCAGGATCCTGGAGCCAGGGCATGGGATTTCACCCGCTGGCAATGGGACTGTTCACTGGGAATTCTGGGGGGCAAAACCTGAAAATGTTTCCTCTTAGCTCCAATTCTCTGTCTCTCTGTCTCTCTGTCTCTTTCTGTCCTTCTCTCTTTCCCTTATCTTTAATTTTTTATTATCCTAAGAAAACACAGATGTCTCAGATGTGGGGATTAGCAGCCTGCCTCTTTCTGGATGACTCAGGGGAGCACTTTGGCCTCTGTGAGCTTATTTACAATAATTCACAAATCTTGCCAAAAAGAAAAGTCATGGTAGCAGAGGTTAGAAAACCTCCTAGTATTTCTTCTGATGCTTTGAATTTATGATTAATATGTTTAATCTTCATCTTCTGAAAAGTCACCAGTTGCACAGTGAGGACCATAAAGGTAGTCTGTTTCTGTGGTTTGTGGCTTCAACAGTCAGCGGTTTTGCAGCAATAGCATTGCATGTGGGTTTTAGGCTGATGATGCTCAACAGTGGACAATCCTCTTCACCTGCCTGGGCCCCACTGCCTGCCCTTCCATACAGTGCAGGGTCACAGCTGAGCTCTCTGAGACACCTCGCAGGATCTCGGCTTCTGAACTATCAAGTGTCTTCCAGGTGAAGGCTTGGTCTCATAGCCTTTGTGGCTTCCTCCAGGTAACACTTGGTCTTCTGACCTAACCCTGGTATGTGTGTGACACACATGTGAATGTGCTCCCTGTGGCAGCGCTGAGGAAGGACTCAGTCATCACAGATGCTGAAAGGCAAATGCAGTGTGCTTTTTTCCAACATCTCCAGTCTTGCATTATTTTTACCCATCAGCCCATTTGAAAAAGAAAAAAAAAAAAGTCCCCTGTTAGAATTAAATCCCCTCTGGAGATAATGGGTATTTTTTAAATCTTTCACTTTTTTTAGTCACATTTGCTCCCAGTGCCTGCCAGGATCCACTAGAGGGCAGAGACACCCGTGTATATTTGTGTGGCACTTGCTGAGTGGTAATAAAAACAGATACCCTGCCCTCCCAGAGCCAACCTCCAGTGCCAGGGCCAGTGGCAGCAAGTAAGAAAACCTCGGTTTCTGTATCTGCATCAGCTACACGGTGCTCGCACACAGGAGGCATCAACCAGTTTTCTCAGTTAAAGAGACAGAAACAAAATGTGTCTTCACTACTTTTTGAATTTACCATGTTATCTAATGTTTTAACTTAATTGACTGAATAAACTCCCTATGCATCTGGACACATGCATGGAAAATTCACAAACATTTCAAATGAAAATAGAGTATTATGACAAAAGAGAATTTCTTTTGATATGTGAATTTCACTTTTTTCTATCTTTTAGTGATTTTAATGTAATGAAATTGAGAAGTCTGTGCTTCTAAAAGCCTTAAGAGCAAGGTATTTCTCCATTTTGAAAAAAAAAATTTGGCAAAATATCTTCTACTATAGATAGAAGTTAATTGGCTGAGGGTAATAAACAGAAGATTAAAAAACAAGCTTTATCCCCTGCTATTCTGTCAAGGGCTACAGTGAATTACACACTCTGGCATGGGTTTGCACGCCACGTGCTGGAAGCCAGCAGTCATGCAGGCCATGCTCTCCCACACTTAGGAAAACAGCGCATGAGAAAGATCTCCATCAAGTTCACACAGAATGACCTCCAGCAAGACCTGGAAAATGCTCAGTTCCACAAAATACCTGTGTCCAAATCCTTTCAGTGCACAGCTCTGGCATCAGGTTCCTGTGAGGACAGACCCTGAGATGGATTTCTGGATGGAGGCTGCTGCCGGAGGAGACAATGTCACTGCAGATGGCTCATGCTGCTCCCACGCTGCAGGGGTCAGTGACTTGGGACTCCTGCACGCCGTCCCACTGGGGAACCGTGGAGATTCACCCCAGCTGGGTGGACTCTGCTGTGTCCCCCGTCAAGAAGCTCCACGGCTTACCTTGGTTTTTCCTTTTTAAAACTGTCTGGTGTTTTCCTGTCCAGTGGGGGCTGCATCTCACCTTAGAAGAAAACATTTTCCAACTAGGAGCTGTCTTGGTAGCTGGTCCAGAGGAAGGTCTCCTCTCTCGGGAGTGAGGTCCAGCCAAGTAACTCCAGCCAGAGCTCTCACTGAGTGGGTCTGGATCTGCCCTGTCCTCCTCCCATCCTCATGCTGACTATGGAAATCCATCTGTGCCCTATGCAAAGTCCTGCATCTTGGACTGTAAAATGGCAAAAGCCAAATTTAAAATAGATGATTATATTGACCCTATGAGGAAAAGAAAGTTCTGAGGTAGACAATTGGTAAGCAAGCAATTATGTGTAACTTGCTAGAACACTAGGGTGTTTTTTATTTGTCTGATTATTTTCTGTTTAACAGGCTGGCTAAGAGCCAGAGGGAGAGAAAGCTGGCTGGGAACTGAGAGGCATGAGGTCACCTCAGTCCCAACATTTCCATGTAAACGATGATGCGAGGTGGGCTGGTGGCAAGATCAGAGCAGAACTGAAGGTGATAGAGACACAAAAAACCCTTCAAAAAAAAATCAATGAATGCAGGAGCTGGTTTTTTGAAAAGATCAACAAAATAGACTGATAGCCAGACTAATAAAGAAGAAAAGAGAGAAGAATCAAATAGATGCAATAAAAAAGGATATAGGCGATATCACCACTGATCCCACAGAAATACAAACTATCATCAGAGAATACTATAAACACATGTATGCAAATAAACTAGAAAATCTAGAAGAAACAGATAAATTACTGGACACATACACCCTCCCAAGTCTAAACCAGGAGGAAGTCAAATCCCTGAATAAACCAATAACAAGTTGTGAAATTGAGGCTACAATTAATAGCCTACCAACCAAAAAAAGTCCAGGACCAGATGGATTCACAGCCAAATTCTACCAGAGGTACAAAGAGGAGCTGGTACCACTCCTTCTGAAACTATTCCAAAAAATAGAAAAAGAGGGAATCCTCCCTAACTCATTTTATGAGGCCAGCATCATCCTGATACCAAAACCTGGCAGAGACACAACAAAGAAATAAAATTTCAGGCCAATATCTCTGATGAACATCGATGCAAAAATCCTCAACAAAATACTGGCAAACTGAGTCCAGCAGCACATCAGAAAGCTTATCCACCATGATCAAGTCAGCTTCATCCCTGGGATGCAAGGCTGGTTCAACATATGCAAATCAATAAATGTAATCCATCACATAAACAGAACCAAAGACAAAAACCACATGATTTTCTCAATAGATGCAGAAAAGGCCTTCGACAAAATTCAACAGCCCTTCATGCTGAAACCTCTCAATAAACTAGGTATTGATGGAATGTATCTCAAAATAACAAGAGCTATTTATGACAAACTCATAGCCAATATCATACTGAATGGGCAAAAACTGGAAGCATTCCCTTTGAAAACCAGCACAAGACAAGGATGCCCTCTCTTACCACTCCTATTCAACATAGTATTGGAAGTTCTGGCCAGGGCAATGAGGCAAGAGAAAGAAATAAATTGAATTCGAATATGGAAAGAGGAAGTCAAATTGTCTCTGCTTGCAGAGGACATGATTGTATATTTAGAAAACCTCATTGTCTCAGCTGGGCACGGTGGCTCATGCCTGTAATCCCAGCACTTTGGGAGGCCGAGGCGGGTGGATCACAAGGTCAGGAGTTGGAGACCATCTTGGCTAACACGGTGAAACCCCATCTCTACTAAAAATACAAAAAATTAGCTGGTCGCGGTGGCGGGAGCCTGTGGTGCCAGCTACTCCGGAGACTGAGGCAGGAGAATGGCATGAACCCAGGAGGCAGAGCTTGCAGTGAGCCGAGATCGCGCCACTGCACTCCAGCCTGGGTGACAGAGTGAGACTCCGTCTCAAAAAAAAAAAAAAAAAGAAAAGAAAACCCCATCGTCTCCGTCTAAAATCTCCTTAAGCTAATAAGCAACATCAGCAAAGTCTCAGGATAGAAACTCAAGGTGCAAAAATCACAAGCATTCCTATACACCAATAACAGACAAGCAGAGAGCCAAATCATGAGTGAACTCCCATTCACGGTTGCTACAAAGAGAACAACATACCTAGGAATACAATTTACAAGGGATGTGTAGGACCTCTTCAAGGAGAACTACAAATCACTGCTCAAGGAAATAAAAGAGGACACAAACAAATGGAAAAACATTCCATGCTCATGGATAGGAAGAATTAATATCGTGGAAATGGCCACACTGCCCAAAGTAATTTATAGATTCAGTGCAATCCACATCAAGATAACACTGACTTTCTTCACAGAATTGGAAAAAACTACTTTAAATTTCATATGGAACTAAAAAAGAGCACACATAGCCAAGACAATTCTGGGGAAAAAGGGCAAAACTGGAGGCATCATGCTACCTGACTTCAAACTCTACTACAAGGCTACAGTAACCAAAACAGCATGGTACTGGTACCAAAACAGATCTACAGACAGTGGAACAGAATAGAGACCTCAGAAACAACATCCACATCTACTAGCATCTGATCTTTGACAAACCTGACAAAAACAAGCAACAGTGAAAAGATTCCCTATTTAATAAATCGTGTTGGGAAAACTGGCTAGCCATATGCAGAAAACTGAAACTGCACCCCTTCCTTACACCTTATACAAAAATCAACTCAAGACGGATCAAAGACTTAAACGTAAGACCTAGAACCATAAAAATCCTTGAAGAAAACCTGGGCAATACCATTCAGGCCATAGGCATGGGCAAAGACTTCATGTCTAAAACACCAAAAGCAATGGCAACAAAAGCCAAAATTGACAAATGGGATCTAATTAAACTAAAGAGCTTCTGCACAGCAAAAGAAACTATCATCAGAGTGAATAGGCAACCTACAGAATGGGAGACAATTTTTGCAATCTACTCATCTGACAAAGGGCTAATATCCAGAATCTACAAAGAACTTAAACAAATTTACAAGAAAAGAAAAAACCCCATCAAAAAGTAAAGGATATGAACAGACACTTCTCAAAAGAAGACATTTATGCAACCAACAGACATATGAAAAAATGCTCATCATCACTGGTCATTAGATAAATGCAAATCAAAACCACAATGAGATACTATCTCATGCCAGTTAGAATGGGGATCATTAACAAGTCAGGAAACAACAGATGCTGGAGAGGATGTGGAGAAATAGGGACGCTTTTACACTGTTGGTGGGAGTGTAAATTAGTTCAACCATTGTGGAAGACAGTGTGGCGATTCCTTAAGAATCTAGAACTGGAAATACCATTTGACCCAGCAATCCCATATATACCCAAAGGATTATAAATCATTCTACTACAAAGACACATGCACACGTATGTTTATTGCAGCACTATTCACAATAACAAAGACTTGGAACCAACCCAAATGTCCATCAATAATAGACTAGATAAAGAAAATGTGGCATATATACACCATGGAATACTATGCAGCCATAAAAAAGGATGCGTTCATGTCCTTTGCAGGGACATGGATGAATCTGGAAACCATCATTCTCAACAAACTATCACAAGAACAGAAAACCAAACACCACAAGTTCTCACTCATAAGTGGGAGCTGAACAATGAGAACACATGGACATAGGGAGGGGAACCTCACACCAGGACCTGCAGGGGGTGGGGACTAGGGGAGGGATAGCATTAGAAGAAATACCTAATGTAGGTGACGGGTTGATGGGTTTGCTGTAATTTTGCTGCAAATACAAATTGCTGCAATTCTGCAATTGTGGAATCTTTAGAGTTTCCTACATATGAGATCATGTCATCTGCAAACACAGATAGTTGTACTTACTGCTTTCCAATTTGGATGGCTTCTACTTTTCTCAGTAATTGCTCTGGCTAAGACTTCCAATACTATGTTGAACCAATGAACTGAAAGCAGGAACTCAGAAATATATGTCTATAGCGCATTTTCTTTTTTTTTTTTGAGATGGAGTCTCTGTTGCCCAGGCTGGAGTGCAGTGGTTCGATCTCAGCTCACTGCAACCTCTGCCTCCCAGGTTCAAGCAATTCTCCTGCCTCAGCCTCCTGAGTAGCTGGGACTACAGGCGCCCGCCACCACACCCGGCTAATTTTTTGTATTTTTAGTAGAGACGGAGTTTCACCGTTTTAGCCAGGATCGTCTTGATCTCCTGATTTCGTGATCTGCCTGCCTCGGGCCTCCCAAAGTGATGCGATTACAGGTGTGAGTCACTGCGTCTGGCCTACAGTGCATTTTCAAAGCAGCACTATTCACAATAGCCAAGAGACAGAAGCAACTCAAGTGTCAACTGATGAATGAATGGAATTGATAGATGCAATGGAATATTATTCAGCCTTAAAACAAAGGAAATCCTGTTACAGACTACAACATAAATAAACCTTGAGGACATTATACTAAGTGAAATAAGCCAACTACAAAAAGAGAAACGGTGTTTAATTCCACTTACATGAGGTAATTAAAGTAGTCCCTTTAATTAACAGATTAACAGAAGCTGTGGAGGAGAAATGGGAGTCAATGTTTAATGGGTATAGTTTCAGTTTTGCAAGACAAAAAAGTTCTGGAGATTGGCTGCACAATAATGTAATTATCCTTAGTACTACTAAACTGTACACTTCAATGGTTAAAATGGTAAACTGTATGTTTTTTACAATTAAAAATATAAAAATGAAGTAAAATAAAATAAAAACAAAAAAATCAGAGAAAGAGGGTCACTTTACAGTGAGAGAAGATTTGCCTAATCAGGAAAATATAGTAATTTTTAAGTTGTGTGCACCTAATAAGTTCAAAATATATAGAATAAAAAAGACTACTATCCGGAATCTACAATGAACTCAAACAAATTAGCAAGAAAAAAAAATCCCCTCAAAAAGTGGGCTAAGGACAATTCTCAAAAGAATTTATACAAATGGCCAACAAACATATGGAAAACATGCTCAACATCACTAATGATCGGGGAAATGCAAATCAAAACCACAATGCGATACCGTCTTCCTCCAACAAGAATGGCCATAAACAAAAAAATAAAAAAATAACAGATGTTGGCCAGGAGGCAATGAAAAGGGAACACTTCTACACTGCTGGTGGGGATGTAAACTAGTACAACCACTATGGAATACAGGGTGGAGATTCCTTAAAGAACTAAAAGTAGAACTACCATTTGATCTGGCAATCCCACTACTGGGTATCTACTCAGAGGAAAAGAAGTCATTATATGAGAAAAGATACTTGCACATGCATGTTTATAGCAGCACAATTCAAAAATATGAAACCAGCCTAAATGCCAATCAATCAATGAGTGACTAAAGAAACTATGGTATATACATAAGACAGAATACTACTCAGCCATAGAAAGGAATGAATTAATGGCATTCACAGCAACCTGGATGGAATTGAAAACCATTATTCTAAGTGAAGTAACTCAGGAATGGAAAACCAAACATCGTATGTTCTCACTCATAAGTGGGAGCTAAGCTATGAGGATGCAAAGGTAAAGAATGATACAATGGATGTTGGTGACTCCAGGGGAAAGGATGAGAAGGCCATGGCTATAAATTGGGTTCAGTATATACCGCTTGGTTGATGGGTGCACCAAAACCTCACAAATCACCACTAAAAAACTTACTCATGGCCGGGTGTGGTGGTTCATGCCTGAAATCCCAGCACTTTGGGAGGCCGAGGCGGGTGGATCATGAGGTCAGGAGATCTAGACCATCCTGAGTAACATGGATCTCTACTAAAAATACAAAAAATTAGCTGGGCATGGTGGCAGGTGCCTGTAGTCCCAGCTACTGGGGAGGCTGAGGCAGGAGAATGGTGTGAACCTGGGAGGCGGAGCTTGCAGTGGCCACTGCACTCCAGCCTGGGCAACACAGAGAGACTCTGTCTCAAAAAAAAAAAAACAAAAAACAATCATGTAACCAAATACCACCTATTCCCCAAAAACATGGAAATAAAAAATAAAGTTTTCATAAGGTTCAATTTCTTAAACTGAGTTGTTCATTATTCTTTAAACTGTTCCTGTGCATTTTATATATTTTGGTATGTATATTTTACACACTCACACAAATGCACACAGGCACAGGGACACTGGCAGAGAAACACCTGAACACTCTCCAGCTGACCCAGTCAGAGCCTGATGGGAATGCTGCTCTGCAGTGATGAGGGAGTCGCAAGCAAAGGATGTTCACCTGTGATGTTCCAGAACACACACATCTTGCACAGCTAAAAGAATAAAATTAGGTCATCTCCACATGTAACAGTCTTTGTCCCTTATAAAGAATCTCTTTATAAAATCCTTATAAAGTTGTTTACCTGAATTTCTTCAAGGCCCAGCCAGCCCGCATCCCAACTTATCCATACACAGGGTCTCTGACCACCTCTGGTCCACGGGACATCACACTTAAATTCCTCTATGGCTTGTGAGAGAAGCTTATCACCTGATTAGATCATAAGCTCCAGTAATCACAGACATGAGTCCCCATGGGCCTTCAGTAAATCCAAGAGTGTGATTGTGATGTCTGCGGGGCTCCAGCTCCCCTTCTGCTCTGACCTTTTTGGCACTAAGGCAGGCTCGCTGCAGGCAGATGCCAGGTGCGTGAGGTGTGCAAGAAAGACCTCAGCCCCTCAATCTCTCCCGACCCCCTTTCACAAGTCTGTAGCCCAGGAAAAATGTGTAATATGGAGCCACCAGTGACGAGCTGTGTGATTTTGTAAAGTCACTTACCAAAGAGACTTCCTGGTGCCCTTGTCTTTCACCTGTAAAATGGGATCATCATGGTACCTACCCTCATTGCATTGTGAAAACAGTAAGAGCCAATGTGTGTAAAGCAGACACAACAGGCCTGGATTCCCAAGTGTTAACTATAATTTCAGGTCCACAACCCCTCACCTGCAATTCCAAAAGCCAAATATGGTTTAAAAACTGAACTTTCTTTTAAAACTTTGCAACAAACTCTTTGGCAGCAAAACCTGGACTGACCTAAGGCTCTTCATAACATCTAATTCTGTTACTATAAATATCCATATATTTTGCTGCAGAAATTATGTTTGATTAAGGATGCGTCAGTATGACTGATCAAACTCAAACAGTCTGACTTCTTCCCCAGGTCCAGCCAGGTTTGGGTCAAGAAGCCTGACTTGTGCTACCATTTCACAGTTGCTACACCTCTCAGCAGTTTACCACCTTTTCCTCCACTGTGCCTTAGGCTGGCCCCATCCACTTGCTACCTTTCTCTGCATTAAGGAGATTATGAAATCACCAAGGAAATTGTAAATGAATGTGTATTGATTGAAATGAATATTTTAATATCAATGATATGCAAAACTGGTTGCTATTTATTTATTTTTGTTCAAACCATTGTTTTATGGTGTTTGTAATTTTTTTCTTTAAGAGACAGTTTCACTGTGTTGCCTGGGCTGGAGTGCAGTGGCTATTCACAGGCACAGTCATGAGGCACTACAGCCCTGGACTCCTGGGCTCAAGCCATCCTCCTGCCTCAGCCTCCTGAGTAGCTGGGACTACAGGTGTGGGCCACAGGACCTGGTTCTTAAATTTTTTTCTTAGTCAAAAAACAGTTAAACATGAGACAAATATCTTCAACTTGGTCAAACATAGTTGAACTATATATTTTTTCCTTATCTGACACAGCTTGTTATTGTTGGATTCATTTTGGGATTCCCAGAAATGGATTCTTACTATGAGTGAAATCACATGGTTGGATTGGAAGCTTTCTATTACAAGCCCAGGGGAGATGGAAATATGCTGTGTGGCTCTGCATTAACTTCTGAATTGGATTAATATAATTGCTTCTGCTGGGCTGCAGCTGCTATTAAAAGACTTGATATCACTGCCACCTTAGTAATCACACAAGTGATGGCAAGGTAGAGACATAAGTGAATTTCATTTTAAAAATGCAAATAGTGCTTGATTTAATAATTTAAAAACTTGTAAAATTGCTCAGCAATAGACACATTCTACAAAAGTTGAAATAAAAGTGCTGTTAAGTCTGATAGCAATAAAGAATGTATTCTTATGTAAGAAAACCACAAAGCTTGGGCCGGGCGAGGTGGCTCACACCTGTAATCCCAGCACTTTGGGAGGCCAAGACAGGAGGATCACGAGGTCAGGAGGTTGAGACCATACTGGCTAACACGGTGAAACCCCGTCTCTACTAAAAATACAAAAAAGTTAGCCGGGCATGGTGGCAGGCACCTGTAGTCCCAGCTACTCCGGAGGCTGCAGCAGGAGAATAGCGTGAACCCAGGAGGCGGAGCTTGCAGTGAGCCAAGATCACTTCACTGCACTCCAGCCTGGGCAACAGAGGGAGACTCCATCTCAAAAAAAAAAAAAAAAAAGAAAGAAAACCACAAAGCTTTTAACATAAAAATGGAAAGAAATATTTTAGTGTTTGATGTTTATTTTGGATTCCATTAAATAATAAACATCCGTATGTGGTTAAGTGCTTGGATGCCCACCGCTTCCCTGTGATTAGGGATGGAAAACTTGAGATAGTGCAAAGAAACTTTAAAAGTGGTATGAACCGCAGCCAAAACTACAATCAATCAGAAAGTAAGCCAAAGTGGCTGAGCGCGGTGGCTCATTCCTGTAATCCCAGCACTTTGGGAGGCTGAAGCAGGGGGATCACGAGGTCAGGAGTTCGCGACCAGCCTGACCAGCATGGTGAAACTTCGTCTCTACTAAAAATACAAAAAATTAGCCGAGCATGGTGGCACACACCTGTAGTCTCAGCTACTTGGGAGGCTGACGCAGGAGAATTGCTTGAATGCAGCAGGCAGAGGTTGCAGTGAGCCGAGATCGCACCACTGTGAGCCGAGGTTGCATCACCACACTCCAGCCTGGGCGACAGAGTGAGACTCTGTCTCAAAAAAAAAAAAAAAAGCTTACCTTTAGTTATTAGGCAATAACATGCAATTTCTAAAACCTAACTTAAATGCAGTTTTTCAATCAATTTAAAATGTGTCAGTTTAGTTACATTTATTGAATCAAGTTAACAAATAAGTATCTCTTGAAAATGAGAGCTCCCAGGACTTATAAAAACCGTAAAGTTCCCATTTGCTTTCTGCATTAGCTAATTATGACCTTCACTTAACAAGCATAAGTCAATTGAACGACTCAGTATTTCACCAAATTAAAAACAAGAAGTATATTAGAAAAACAAAACCCAAAAGGGAAAAGGTAATATAACTAACCTCAGTCAAGCAGTTCATGCTGTTATTCGAAGTCTATGGGCTTGAAGTAGGGATCCTTATGGGTGTTTTGGAATATATTTTCTGTTGTGACCTATACTATTAAGATTTCCAACCCAGGGTGGCTCTGGGTCTGGCCTCATAGGCAGAGTGGTGGGAACAGATTTCATTTGCTCTTTCTCTATATGGAGCTTGCTGCTGACCATTGCTATTATCTCATTTGATCTGTACAGATAGCAAAAAACAAATGCCTAGTATTTTATTTTTCCTTAAATGATTCCTAAATGATTTGCAATTTTTAAAAAATTGCCCTGACAGCAAACAAAATTACCCACTAAACTGTTTTAACACCAAATGTGTGAGAGCATACCTGTTATAAGCAAGTATAATTTTAAAATCGTTCTTAAAAAATCACATATGTTTCTAAGAAGATTTCTAGTGAATAAGTAATTCAAACAAAGTAGGAAGGAGAGAGAAATGGCTATCGATGTACGGCTCAATAGGTAATGCTTGCTACCTTCTAGAAGGCTGTACTTATAAGATTCTGAGGATGCCATTAGAAATACTTGTATTCAGGCTGGGCACAGTGGCTCATATCTGTAATCCCAGCACTTTGGGAGGCTGAGGCGGGCAGATCACCGGGTCAGGAGTTCGAGACCAGCCTGGCCAACATGGTGAGAACCTGCCTCTACTAAAAATACAAAAATTAGCCAGGTGCAGTGGTGGGCGCCTGTAATCCTAGCTACTTGGGAGGCTGAGGCAGAAGAATTGCTTGAACCTGGGAGGCGGAGGTTGCAGTGAGCTGAGATTGCGCCACTGCACGCCAGCCTGGGCAACAAAGCAAGACTCCATCTCGGGAAAATTAAAAAAAAAAAAAGAAATACTTGTATTTAAAGGTAACTATGTGAGATGATATGTTAATTTGCTTGACTATAAGAACAACTTCACTATGAATAAACATATAGTAACGTGTTGTATGCCTTAAATAATATACAATTAAGAAAACTAAAACAAAAACAAAAACAAACAAAAACAGAAGCTAGAAATACTTGTATTTAGAAACCAGTTTCAGGATTTTAGAAATCACTCCTAAATATATTTTCAAACATTTGTTTTCACCACCCTTGTACATTTCACCCATTATCTAGGAAAAAATAAGCATTTCACACTGAGAAATAATTCAGAGCAAGAACTCCTAGGAGAGAACTAGATGGTTGGATTGGTGATCAAAAAGAACTAAAGCATCTCTGAAGGCAATCAGCCCTTAGCATTGTGACCAAGGCACTGGAGGTGGGGCTTGCCCTTTCTGTCTTCCACACACCCCTTCAGGCTGACCAAGGTGTTATTTTTAAACAACTTTGTAAATTACACTTTCTTTCATCCCTAGGATAATCATTCCCTATTTCACAAGCATGTCTTCCTGTAGACTGAAAAAACTATACAGAAAAGTTTGTCTCAAAGCGCCCTCTAGTGATAATACTAAAAATCACAATCAGGAAAGTTAAGTTACTAAATGCCAGGACGTGCCCAGAATAGTAGTAGTTTGGGCACTTTGAGTTTAGATTGTGACCTACTAAAAAACAAATTAAATTCATTAATATTTCCATTTAGAAGAATTCTGAAAAGTAATTTTACAGCAAGATCACTTTATTGACCATAAAGCTTCAAAAATGCTAAAAGACTAATAGACTAGGTTAACTACGTAAGATTTTTCAGGGGAAAAGGCCATACAAAAGTTAAAAAAAAAATGAGGGAAGAGACAGAAACTGTCCTTGACTAACATTTTAAATGTAAGTTTATTTACTAGCATTATTTTCAAAAATTATACTATCAGGATAGCTTTCACTTCCTACTAATCTCATGAAGTTGTCTCACTAAAAATTATGCTTTCATGGCAAATTAATGAACTTGATTGATTTTCTACAAGTGTATGTTTTGACTTATTTCTTTAAATTTTTTGACATGGATTTGTTAGCTTTTAATGTTATTGCAAAGACTTCCTTATATTCTTCTAATTCCGTAGTAAGCTCTTCATAAGCGGTTTTCATTTTGGAGAATTGACATTCCACGTCTTTCAGTCAGAGTTCTCTTTTATTCATCAAAGCCATATTATTCTCTTTTAACTGCTGTGTTTTTCATATTCTGCTTGTTTCTAAAACAAATAAAAAATCATACTTTTAAAACAATTATAACCTAATTAGTCTCTATTTGTTGCCTTTCATTTTGAGTCAGTGATTCAGAAAGCAATTTTAAATATGTGTTTTAAAAAGGGGCTGAAGTTTAAAACATCTATTAGCAATTTCATCTAAATTGATAACAGAATTCAGAATTAAATATGAATTATAAAAATTTGAAATCATTCTTGTTAGTGTTCATGTAATCTAATCATTTAAAAATAATAGAATCCATTGGAAATGTTAAAAACTGAACAATGTAGCGTAAGACCAATTCAAAAGTACCATATAATTTTAAATCAGAGTTTTCTTTTTCTAATAGTCTTATGCTAACTGGTTTTAATAACCAAATGACTGTATAGTGAAACTCACTACTCTGAAAGATCAACTTAGTTATAATCATGATGGAAATTTAAATATTTAAAATAAGAAACAGGTGCCACCTTTTTTTCTAAAACTCTACAAAGCAAATTCCTATAAGAGAGGCAGACAAAACACTGTATGTCTATATTATAATTTGCAGTGAAATAAATGAAAGCACATTACAGATAAACCTACCTGATTAAAAAAACTAACCTGTAAATTGATTTCTTCTAATTTTTCTATTTCCTGTCCTGCTCTTTCTTCCAACTGCAATTTACATTCTTCTACGTCACCAAATTCTACCATATTTTTTTCATGTGTCTTAAGATTCACTACTTCTTGTTCCAAAATTTTGTTAACCTCCTCAAGTTTTTTACATTTCTGTTGTACTTCTTTCATAGATAATAACTCCTGTTGAATAACTTGATTCTTTTTAGCCAAATATAGACATTTTTGAAGATATAGTTTCCAGCTCTGCTGTAAGTTCATCAAACTGCATAAATAAAATAGTACAGCTTGATAATGAAGTAGGCTGACACTATTTTATTATAAAACCAGTAACAAATTTTGAAATACATTTACTTGCAATAAAATGTTATCTATAATGCGGTAGATTCTTCCAACGTGAACGCTTAAATTACTCAGAAAATCAAGAACAAAGTTAAAGCCACCAAGAGTCAAAAAGATATATTAGTTACTTTTATCATCTTTGCCACAGAACTTTTGCACTTGATCTTACACTTTTATTTTTCTGATTGCTTATTTTTGTTCCTCCCTAAATGACTCTAAGTTATTTCTTAGTAGAAAGTTTCTAATCTCCTTCCTTCATGATCATGCCCAATAATTTCTAAAGAAGTTTTAGGGACATCATATTGAGTTATTTAGGCCAAGGTCAATAAATGGCTCTCAGAATAAGACTCTGAAAATAATAATCTAGGCCAGGTGTGGTGGCTCATGCCTGCAATCCCAGCACTTTGGGAGGCTGCAGCAGAACGATCACTTGAGGCCAGGAGTTTGTGACCAGCCAGAGCAACATAGTGAGACCCCCATCTTTACAAAAAGTTAAAAGCAATTAGTTAAAAACAATTACAATTAGTTAAAAACAATGACAAAAAGTTAAAAACAATTAGCCAGACATGGTGGCGCATTCCTGTAGTTTCAGCTGGTTGGGAGACTGAGGCAGGAGGATGGCTTGAACCCAGAGTTCAAGGCTGCAGTGAGCCATGACCACACCACTGCACTCCTTCCTGACTGACAGAGAAAGATCATATCTCAAAAAAAGACAAATTAATGCGTCCTGTAAATAAGGAGTATGATATGGTTTGGCTGTATCCCAACTCAAATCCCATTATGAATTGTATCTCCCATAATTCCCACATGTTGTGGGAGGGACCTGGTGGGACATAATTGAATCCAGGGAGTGGTTTCCCCCGTACTGGGCTTGTGGTAGTGAATATATCTCACAAGATCTGATGATTTTACAAGGGGTTTCCCCTTTCACTTGGCACTCCTTTCTCTCTTGTCCGCCACCATGTAAGACATGCCTTTCCCCTTCTGCCATGACTCTGAGGCCTCCCCAGCCATGTGGAACTGTGAGTTCATTAAACCTCTTTTTCTTTATCAATTACCCAGTCTCAGGTATGTCTTTATCAGCAGCATGAAAATGGACTAACACAGTAAGTTGGTACCAGTAGGGTGGTGTGCTGCCGTAAAGATACCCAAAAATGTGGAACTGGGTAATAGGCAGCAGTTGAGACAGTTTGGAGGGCTCAGAAGAAGACAGAAAAATGTGGGAAAGTTTGGAACTTCCTAGGGACTTGTTGAATGCCTTTGACCAAACTGCTGATAATGATATGGACAATAAAATTCAGGCTGAGATGGTCTCAGATAGAGATGAGGAACTCATTGGGAACTACTGTAAAAGTGATTCTTGCTATGTTTTAGCAAAGAGAGTGGTGGCATTTCGCCCCTGCCCTAGAGATATGTAGAACTTTGAACTTGAGGGAGATGACTTAGGGTATTTAGTGGAAGAAATTTCTAAGCAGCAAAGCATTCAAGAGGTGACTTGGGTGCTGTTAAAAGCATTCAGTTTTAAAAGGGAAACAGAACATAAAAGTTCAGAAAATTTGCACCCCGATAATGTGATAGAAAAGATTTTTTTCTGAGGAGAAAGTCAAGCCTGCTGCAGAAATATTCATACATAACAAGGGGCCAAATATTAATCACCAAGACAATGGGAAAAATGTCTCCAGGGCATGTAAGAGAACTTTGGGCAGCCCCTTCCCATCACAGCCCTGAAGGCCTGGAAGGAAAAAATGGTTTTGTAGGTATCCAGGCCCCCACTGCTGTGTGCAGCCCAAGGACTTGGTGCCCTGCATCCCAGCCACTCTAGATATGGTTAACAGGGGCCAAGGTACAGTTCAGGCTGTGGCTTCAGAGGTTACAAGCCCCAAGGCTTGGCAGCCTCCACATGGTGGTGAGCCTGTGGTTGCACAGAAGTTAAGAATTGAGGTTTGGGAACCTTCACCTAGATTTCGGAGGATGTATAAAAATGCCTGGATGTCCAGGCAAAAGTTTGCTGCAGAGGCAGGGCCCTCATGGAGAACCTCAGCTAAGGCAGTGTGGAAGGGAACTGTGAGGTTTAAGCCCCCACACTGAGTCCCCACCTGGGGCACTGCCTAGTGGAGCTGTGAGAAGAGGGCCACCATCCTCCAGACCCCAAAATGCTAGATCCACCAACAGCTTACACCATGCACCTGGAAAAGCCACAGACACTCAACACCAGCCCATAAAAGCAGCCAGGAGGGAGGCTGTACACTGCAAAGCCACAGGGGCAGAGCTGCCCAAGACCATGAGAATCCACCTCTTGCATCAGCATAACCTGGATGTGAGACATGGAGTCAAAGACAATCATTTTGGAGCTTTAAGATTTGCCTGTTAAGCTGGATTTTGGACTTGCATGGGGCCTTTAGTCCTTTCATTTTGGCCAATTTCTCCCATTTGGAATGAATGTATTCATCCAACGCCTGTACCCCCAATGTATTTAGGAAGTAACAAACTTGCCTTTGATTTTACAGGCTCACAGGCAGAAGGGACTTGCCTTGTCTCAGATGAGTCCACAAACTGTGGACTTTTGAGTTAATGCTGAAATGAGTTAAGATTTTGGGGGACTGTTGGGAATGCATGATTGGTTTTGAAATGTGGGGATATGAGATTTGGAAGAGGATGGGGCAGAATGATATGGTTTGGCTTTGTCCCCACCCAAATCTTATCTTGAATTGTAGCTCCCATAATTCCCACATGTTGTGGGAGGAACCCCGTGGGAGATAATTGAATCATGGGGGTGGCTTTCCCCATACTATTCTTGTGTCAGTAAGTTTCATGAAATCTGATGAGTTTATAAGGGGTTTTCCCTTTCACTTGGCGCTCCTTTCTCTCTTGTCTGCTGCCACATAAGACATGCCTTTCACCTTCTGCCATGATTGTGAGGCCTCCCCAGCCACATGGAACTGTGAGTTCATTAAACCTTCTCTTCTTTATCAGTTACCCAGTCTCAGGTATGACTTTATCAGCAGTATGAAAATGGACTAATACAGATTATGAGGATTCTAATGCCATTAGCTTTTCCCTAAACTTCAAATGTTTTATGCTAATTTGAATTGCATTTCAAGAAGTAATGATTCTTTGGGTCAAGGCCATAGAAAACAGAACCCAGAAATAAATCCACGTATTTACAGGCAACTGATTTTGGACAAAGGTGCCAATAACATACGTTGGGGAAAGGACACCCTCTTCAATAAATGGCACTGGAAAAACTGGATAGCCAATGGAGAAGAATAAAACCAGACACCATATACCAAAATAAACTCACAATGGATTAAGGTCTTAAATGTAAGGCCCCAAACTATCAAACTACTAGAAGAAAACATAGGAGAATGCCTCAGGACATTAGTCTGCACCAAGATTTTATGTGTAAGACATCAAAAGCAAAGGCAAAAAGCAAATAATAGACCACTAATATCCAGAATGTACAAGGAACTCAATGTGACAGTAAAAAAAAAAAGGGTAAAAGATCTAAATAGACTTTTAAAAAAGACATACAAATGATGATGAAATATATAAAAAAGATCAATGTCACTAATTGTCAGGGAAATGCAAATAAAACCCACAATAAGATATAATCGCACTCCAGTTCAAATAAATGGTTATCATTGAAAAGACAAAAAATAACAAATGCCAGTGAGTTTGCAGAGAACTCATATGCTGTTGGTAGGAATGTAAATTGGTGCAGCCATTATAGAAAATGACATGGAGTTTTCTCAAGAAACTAAAAATACAGCTGCCAAGGGACACAGCAATCACACTACTGGTTAGTCAACCGATAGAAAAGAAAACTATATATCAAAAGGATACTTGTACTTATATGTTTATTGTAGCACTATTCACAACAGCTAAGGTATAGAATCAACCTACATGTCCATCAACAAATGAGTCTGTGGCTTGTTTTCTGTCTCTTAACATCCATTTTATTTTTACTTTTGGAACTAAAGAAGAGGAATGGTCAACTTTCTGTTATTGTTGTAACAGTAATGGCAGAACCAAGAGAGAATGCACCCAATCTTGTAATCACATTGGAAGGCCCTGATTGTGCAAGTGTGCTAATTCTACATTGAGCAAAGAAAGTGGTTGGTCAAGTCCTACATTAATGAAATGGGGTAGTATATGCAGGTGGGGGAGGGGAAAAATCTTAAGAGTAATATAATCTACCATACCATCCATGAACCTACAATGGCTCTCGGTTACCTTATTATCTGGTTTGTTTAATGTTGGAATCTTTCTGGAAGATCCTCCAACCTTTCTGGAAGACCCTAATCTGAGAACACCATCAAAAACACACTTCTTCTTTTGGCATAATTTAAATTCTCTGACATCATTCACATTTATCAGTGTTACATATATAAGAACTCACCAGCCATGCGCAGTGGCTCACGCCTGTAATCCCAGCACTTTGGAAGGCCGAGGTGGGCAGATCACCTGAGGCTGGGAGTTCGAGACCAGCCTGACTAACATGGAGAAACCCCATCTCTACTAAAAATACAAAATTAGCCAGGTATAGTGGTGCATGCCTGTAATCCCAGCTACTCAGGAGGCTGAGGCAGGAGAATCTCTTGAACTTGGGAGGCGGAGGTTGCAGTGAGCTGAGATTGCGCCATTTTACTCCAGCCTGGGCAACAACAGCCGAGACTGCACCATTGCACTCCAGCCTGGGCAACAAGAGTGAAACTCTGTCAAAAAAACAAAAAAAAAAACACAAAAAACTTCACCTACCATATTCCTCCTTGAGTCCAGTTCAGTGAAAAAAGGCTGGTTTCTCATTTCTCCTATCTTTTCATAGTTTGCAGCATGTAATTCTGTAAACCATGTAATTCTATAACCATTTTCAAAATTGTCTAACAATTTTATAATGGATTGGTTGCTTACTATTAATTTTTTTAAAAGTCATGGCTTCTCCTGTCATTTCTTGCTTACCAAAATTATTTCATGAGATGGGTTAGTCCTCGTATATTTGAAATTGATGCTTGCTTCTATCTACTTAAAAATTTGAACATACCTGTTTGGATCACATTGTCTTGTCCTGATAACTTGATAGAGGTTGCTTCAGCATTGTTATTGTTGTTGGGGTGGTTATTATTAATATTATTTAATAATAATTTATTTAAATAATAAATTATTTAATAATTATTTAATGTTATTTAATAATATTTAAAAAATTAAAATTTTAAAGAAGACCAGAGTCTTTTTTTCAATCCCAGTACATTTTTCAGAAGTAACTAATGCTATTGGCTTTGTGCATTATAATTCAAGACCATTTTTTATGTCTTTAGTTACATATACAGTATACATACACGTGTTATATTATTCCATTTCTTCTAGCATTAAACATCACTATGAAAAACTCTGAGAAAAATTTACTTTTGAACAGAACTTTTCCTTTCCTCAGATGTCCCCATTTTAGAAATTTTTCTTTGATCCTTGAAGTTTGGTAACAACTTTAAATGTGTATATCTCGGCCAGGAGCAATGGCTCATACCTGTAATCCCAGCACTTTGGGAGGCCGAGGCGGGTGGATCACCTGAGGTCAGGAGTTCAAGACCAGCCTGGTCAACATGAAGAAACCCCATCTCTTCTAAAAATGCAAAATATTAGCCAGGTGTGGTGGCTGGCATATGTAACCCCAGCTACTTGAGAGGCTGAGGCAGGAGAATCGCATGAACCTGGGAGGCGGAGGTTGCAGTGAGCTGAGATTGCACCACTGCACTCTGGCCGAGGCAACAAGGGTGAAACTTCATCTCAAATAAATAACTAAATAAATGTGTAACTTCGTCTCAAATAAATAAATGTGTATATCTCACTATTCATTATTATATGGCATTTTCCTGGACATTTTGTATACACATGTGTACTTAACAATGGAAGAAAAATATTCCAAATATAGTAGAAAAAAATTTTGTTCAGAGGTTTCCAACACATTTTATTTTGCAGATCACAGATTTAAAGCTTTTGAGGACCAACATCTCTATCAATTCCTATAAAATGTCCCATCAATTTCAGTTTCATAGCAGGCTCTTCTGTACTGCACACCATGCTTATAGTTGGAGGTCTGGTCACACATGCATAAAGGTTGCCCGCCCGTTGGTTCCTGGAGGTGGTCACGTCCAAGAAGCTTCATCTTCCCAGGGGAGGGTTCCTTTGGCAAGAAGTGGATAAGTTTACACATATAGCTTTGGTGCCTGTGAGCAGGAAGTGTCAGAAACTTTCAGGATATGCTGCTGTTTCTCTTATGAAGTCAGGGTCCTGAGGATCCAGTGCCCTTGTACTTAATGAGAACAATTCCTCCTCATTGTTTAGTGGGTTAAAATATAAGGAAGTCGGCCGGGCACAGTGGCTCACACCTGTAATCTCAGCACTTTGGGTAGCCAAGGCAGGCAGATCACAAGGTCGGGAGTTCGAGACCAGCCTGGCCAATATGGTGAAACCCCATCTCTACTAAAAATACAAAAATTAGCCAGGCATGATGGCGTGCACCTGTAGTCCCATCTACTCAGGAGGCTGAGGCAGGAGAATCACTGGAACCTGGGAGGCAGAGGTTGCAGTGAGCCAAGATCGGGCCACTGCACTCCAGCCTGGGCGACAGAGCAAGACTTCGTCTCAAAAAAAAAAAAAAAAAAAAAGGAAGCCTCGTTTTTAAGTAACACAGATAACACCTTTTTAACTCACCTATTTATTCTAGAACTACAATTTTTTGTCCTTTTTTTTTTGTTTTGAAAAAGAGTCTCACTCTGTCACCTATAATGGAGTGCAGTGGTTGCAGCTCGGCCCACCACAACTTTCGCCTCCCAGGCTCAAGTGATTCTCCTGCCTCAGCCTCCCAAGTAGCTGGGATTACAGGCACCCACCACCACGCCCGGCTAATTTTTGTATTTTTAGTAGAGACAAGGTTTCACCATGTTGGCCAGGCTGGTCTCGAACTCCTGGCCTCAAGTGATCCACCCGTCTCAGCCTCCCCAAGTGCTGGGATTGCAGGCGTGAGCCACATCACCCAGCCATATAAGAGCAATTTTAAAAATTAAATTAAACCCACCAGGAGGAACAAAAACTCCAGACGCGCACCACCTTTAAGAGCTGTCACTGCGAGGGTCTGTGGCTTCATTCCTGAAGTCAGCGAGACCACGAAACCACCAGGAGGAACAAACAACTCCAGACACTCCACCTTTAAGAGCTGTAACACTCACTGCGAAGGTCTGCGGCTTCACTCCTGAAGTCAGCAAGACCATAAACCCACTGGAAGGAAGAGACTCTGGACACATCTGAACATCTGAAGGAATAAACTCTGGACACACCATCTTTAAGAACTGTAACACTCACCGCAAGGGTCAATAGCTTCATTCTTGAAGTCAGCGAGACCAAGAACGCACCAAAAGGAACCAATTCCGGACACACTAGGAGTGGGGTGCTGGTGGGGCAGGGCACGGGTAGAAGTGAGGTGTGGGTAGGATCAGGGTATGCGTAATATTGAGGTGCTGTTGGAGTGGGCCGTGGGTAGCATGGGGTGCTGGCAGGGCTGGGCGTGGGTAGGAGCGAGGTTTGGGTAGTGGCTGGTGCTGCAGTGGTGAGCCATGGATAGGAGCGGGGTGCGAGTAGGGGCGGGGCTCAGGTGGAGTAGGGTGACTGCTGGGCCAGGCATGTGTAGGATGGGGTGCTGGCAGGGCAGGGCACTGAAAGGAGCAGAGTGTGGGTAAGATTGGGGTTCTAGTGGGGCAAGCATGGGTAGGATAGGGTGCTGCAGGGCGGATAGCAGCCGGGTGCTGCTGGGACAAGCACAGGTAGGAGAAAGGTCCAGGTAGGAGCTAGGTGCTGTGAGGTCGAAAGCAGGTAGTGTGTCCGGAATTGGTTCTTTTTGGTGGGTTCTTGGTCTCGCAGACTTCAAGAATGAAGCCGCAGACCCTCGCGGTTAGTGTTACTGTTCTTAAAGATGGTGTGTCTGGAGTTTGTTCCGTCAGATGTTCAGATGTGTCCAGAGTCTTTTCCTTCTGGTGGGTTCGTGATCTTGCTGACTTCACAGGAGTAAAGCTGCAGACCTTCGCAGTGAGTGTTAACAGCTCTATCAAGGTGGGGCGTCCAGAGTTGTTTGTTCCTCCTGGTGGGTTCATGGTCTGGCTGACTTCAGAATAGAAGCCGCAGACCTTCGCAGTGAGTGTTACAGTTCTTCAAGGTGGTGCGGACCCAAAAAGTGAGCAGCAGCAAGATTCACTGTGAAGAGTGAAAGAACAAAGCCTCTGCAGCATCGAGGGGTACCCAAGCAGGTTGCCACTGCTGGCTCGCATGGCCAGCTTTTCCCTTATTTGGCCCTGCCCATGTCCTGCTGATTGGTCCATTTTACAGAGAGCTGATTGGTGCGTTTTTACAGAGTGCTGATTGGTGCATTTACAAACCTTTAGCTAGACACAGAGCACTGATTGGTGCATTTTTACAGAGTGCTGATTGGTGCACTTACAAACCTTTAGCTAGACACAGAGTGCTGATTGGTGCGTTTTTACAGTCTGCTGATTGGTGCATTTACAAACATTTGGCTAGAGGGAAAAGTTCTCCAAGTCCCCACCCAACCCAGAAGCCCAGCCGGGCTTCACCTCTCAGTAGGAGCGGGGTGCAGGTAGGATCAGGGTGCTGGAGGGGCATGGGAGGGTAGGACAGAGTGCGGTAGTGAGAGGTGACAGAGTGCTGGCAGCCCTCACTCGCTCTCGGTGCCTCCTCGGCCTCGGCGCCCATTCTGGCTGTGCTTGAGCAGCCCGTCAGCCCAGCGCTGCACCGTGGGAGCCCTTCTCTGGGCTGGCCGAGGCAGGAGCCGGCTCCCTCAGCTTGCGGGGAGGTGTGGAGGGAGAGGCAGGGGCAGGAACTGGGGCTGCGCATGGCACTTGTGATCTAGCTAGAGTTCCGGGTGGGCGTGGGCTTGGCGGGTGGGCGTGGGCTTGGTGGGCCCCACACTCAGAGCTGGCTGGCCGGCCCCACCAGCCCCAGACAGTGAGGGGCTTAGCACCCGGGCCAGCAGCTGTGGAGGGTGCTCTGGCTCCCCGAGCAGTGCCGGCCCACCGGTGCTGCGCTCAATTTCTCACTGGGCCTTAGCTGCCTCCCCACGGGGCAGGGCTCGGGACCTGCAGCCCACCATGCCTGAGCCTCCCCCCAGCCGCCGTGGGTTTCTGAGCAGCCTGAGCCTGCCCAAGGGGTGCCGCCCCCTGCTCCACAGCACACAGTCCTATCGATGCTTAAGGGCTGAGGAGTGCTGGTGCGTGGTGTGGGTGTGCAGTGTGGGACTGGCGGGCAACTCTGCCCACGGCCCCAGCGCAGGATCCACTAGGCAAAGCCAGCTGGGCTCCTGAGTCTGGTGGGGACTTGGAGAACTTTTATGTCTAGCTACAGGATTATAACACCAATCAGCACTCTGTGTCTAGCTAAAGGTTTGTAAACGCACCAATCAGTGCTCTGTGTCTAATCTAGTGGGGACTTGGAGAACTTTTGTGTCTAGCTAAAGGATTGTAAATGCACCAATCAGCACTCTGTGTCTAGCTCAAGATTCCTAAATGCACCAATCAGCACCCTGTCAAAACGGACCAATCAGCTCTCTGTAAAATGGGCCAATCAGCAGGATGTGGGTGGGGTCAGATAAGGGAATAAAAGCGGGCTGCGGAGGCAACCGTGGTAAGCTGTGCTTGCATCATGTTTGGAAACTGTCGTACTGCGCGAAGCTTTGCAGCTTCCCTCCTTAAAGGCAGTGAGATGGCAAACCCACTGGGAGGAATGAGAAACTCCAGGCGCACCACCTTAAGAGCTCGTGACACTCACTACAAAGGTCTGCAGCCACTCCTGAAGCAAGCGAGACCACAAACCCACCAGCAGAAAGAAACTGAACACGTCCAAACATCTGAAGGAACTAGCTCCAGACACACCATCTTTAAAAACTGTCACACTCACTGTGAAGGTCTGCGGCTTTATTCTTTTAGTCAGTGAGACCAATTCCAGACACAAGACCATCTCATCTCAAGAGACCAGGACGTCCGGGCACCCCTAGAATGTAGCTGCTGGCAGAGCCTGAAGTCTATCCAGCTCATGCTCTTCCCTGATATCCTTGACAGATTGTGGGATGGTTCAGCC
The DNA here is from genome assembly GCF_000001405.40 of Homo sapiens. Lineage (NCBI taxonomy): Eukaryota > Metazoa > Chordata > Mammalia > Primates > Hominidae > Homo > Homo sapiens. The sequence goes on from NC_000006.12 coordinate 180,846, forward strand.
TCTGCAAGGACATGGCCAATGATGGGGGGCTGGTTTTGGGGGCAGCACTCTAGGCAAGGGAAGAAATAAAGTGTCTGGGAACTGGCGTGGTGAAGGGGCACTTTGTGGAGAAGATGTGTTCACATTTGGATGTGTCGAGGGTGGAATGATATGAGGAAAGTCAAAGGGTGCCCACCCCCAGAGCCTAGGTGTGGGCACAGCACTGCACCACGCCTTAGGGGAGATTGGACTCTGGGCAGAGATCCCAAGAGAAGCAGGAGTTGGAGTCTTGGGGGCCAGTGTGATAGGGAACTAACTTTACTTTAAAGCCAATTTGTCAGTAAGAAAAAACGAGGTGCACCTTGTAGGAGAAAAAGTCACAAGCTTGGTGTGCTTGAAGTCACAAGCCTTGCTGTGCTTGGTGAGAGGGATCCCGAGTGTACTTGAGGCACTCTCCTGTTTAAAAGGGGAACGGTGGTTTTCTTTTCTCAGTGTAGGTTAGTGTAAAAAATCTGCTTTGTAATTGCATAAGGTCTCAGCACAAACAAAATCACAGAAAATGTGAAATGTATTATAACAGTCAACTTGCTTAGAATGTAGTTGAACCTGCATGCAGTATTGAGACACCAGACAACTGTTTTCAGTCTCCACATTTCTTTCATTTCCTTTATGAAAGTTACATTAAGAAAAAAAATAACTCCCTTGAGTATTCTGATATTTTCGGTGAGTGAAACAGTAATCTCAGCAAAGTTCAATCTTGGTATCAGACAGAATTTCAGGTTGTTTCATCTAATTGCCACTTAATACCAAAGACATGATGTTTATTAGCATGTATTTCTAATGAGAAACTATTATAGTCGTCCTCAATTGTCTGAAATATGAAGCGGAAAAAGAAAATTATGAGCCCCAGATACCAGACCAGTTGCTGATCAGATAGAATATCGTGGTTCCAGCATATTATGAAATAAAAATTCAAAGACTGAATACCATGCAAAAGGTCAATATTCGGCAGCATCTGAGAAGTCATACATCTAGATAGACCTAAACTATAAGTGCAGAAGTGCTACAGTAAACTATATGGGCTTTCTACTAAGTACTGGCTAATTTTAAAACATACTGAAATTTATGTACATTAGTCTTTGTTATAAGAATTGAGAATCCGCATTGTATTATAAAGTTGATCTACAACAGTCACTTTATTATAAAATATTTTCGGCCTGGCGCGTTGGCTCACACCTGTAATCCCAGCACTTTGTGAGGCCGAGGCAGGCAGATCACCTGAGGTTGGGAGTTCAAGACCAGCCTGACCAACATGGAGAAAACCCCATCTCTACTAAAAATACAAAATTAGCCGGGCGTGGAGGCAGGTGCCTGTAATCCCAGCTACTCCGGAGGCTGAGGCAAGAGAATCGCTTGAACCTGGGAGGCGGAGGTTGCAGTGAGCCAAGATCTCACCATTGCACTCCAGCCTGGGCAACAAGAGTGAAACTCCATCTCAAAAAAAAAAAAAAAAAAAAATTCACCAGAAGGAAAGTGCTTACCTATTTGAACAACTCTGTACGGGTCTATACAGTATTCCAAGGCTCTTCAATAAGCACATGGTGATGACCCAGGTCAGTCGTGGCAAGGTTGGGGAATTAGAACAAACCTCTGTGGCAAACACAGATTATAGCTTGAAGTGAGCATCACGGATTTCTACAACAAACACTCTGACAAATATTTCCTGTGATAAACATCCACGTTCTCGAGGTGGGACAATTAACCCAAACTTTCCAAATTACATAAAAACTTTTGCTCTATCTAATTAAGCTGATAAATTCATTATTTTAAATGACAACATACAAAAGAAGTATAGATTTTTACTTAAAACGTATTGGATATGTGGGTATTCTCTTGTCTTTCTAAGCAAATGCTAATATCAGTTCAGTGCTTAACAATGTCAGCAGCAACTGGGCCCTCTAAGTCTCCTGCTACTGAAGTTTGAGGGATCAAGCCTCACCGTAATTTTGACAAAGACTAAATTCAAGATGTCTGAGGCTTACAATTTTCTTATTCTACTTAATGAGGTAGAGAAGTTCATTTGGAATTGAGCACTCCATTAGACTGTTTCAGCTAAATTTCAGGTGGCATTTTCTAACAATAAGAGCTGTTGATGCTTTGGAAGGCAACAGGTTTGCTTCACTGGAAGTGATGATGGCCTTCCAGAAAGGGTGAGGCAAGGTTTTCTAAGATCTCATCCAACTAAATGATTCAGAAAGCGCCAGCCTGGGGATTCCAGGTGCTTGTGACTCGGGGATCTTTCTGCCATCCCACCTCACCTGTTAGTCACCTTTTGAAATTGGGTATGATTGAAATGGAGTTTAGGGAATGCTGTAATAATATATCTCTTGCTTGCCTAATTCACAGAAACGTGCACAGGCAAACTGTGATGCTAAGTGGGGGCTTTGATCCTTTGATGCCGGGCCCTCCTCCCACCCGGAGCCATACCTATTTCTCCCTTGCCCGTTCTCCTGCCTCTGCGTTCAGATGTGCTTCAGGCCTGAGACAGGAGGAACCTATCAATGAAGGAGGAAATGTTCCCCAGCTCCTCAAACACGAGGCCTCCTTCTGCAACTCAACTTTCTGCTCCCAGGACAGGATAATCTGAAGACCCCACCGCTTCACCTCATCTGAAGACTCAGTTAAAGAGGAGCGGGCAGGCAGCTGGGGGATTCATTCTCTGGGAGTGGGAGCAGAAGGGAGCCCCTTGTCTTGTTTTTGTTCCTTCCCAGTTGACCCACAGCTGGAGTGCGGGCTGGGCAAGTAGGTGCTGGGCAACTTCTGGGGAGACTCAGGCCTCCTTATTGGCCATCACAAAGCCCCAGAGAAAAAGATGCTTCCAAAAACTGCAAGATAAGAGGAACAGGTAAAGGTCATGGGAGGATTAAGTAGAGCACAGCAGGCTGCTTCACGAACCCTCTGTGGCCTTCCCCAGGTGGGCCAGCATGGCAGCTGCTAACATTGAGTCTAGGCCATCAGGCAAGGTGAATTAGGGACAGTACCAGTGGGGAAAGTACCTCGGTGTAGCCCATGCACTGTCTGCCACCCACCCATGAAGTTCAACCTCTTCTAGTGCTCTTTTCTGTTTTCATGGTCCTGGAGTGACTTGACCTCATTTAGTCATTCTATGATTATCCCATTTACAGGCAAGGAGCATTTTTATTGTTGTTAATGCTCTTAACTCTAGCAAGCTATGAATTTAGGACGTGTCTGTGCCCTTTGGCAAACTTACTGTCTCCTTAGGAATTTTGTGCCCGATTTCTTTTGCTCTTCCAGACTGCTGCCCATGCTCCTCTGCCCTGCCGAGCACTCTGGGAGATGGACCTGGTTGGACACTAGAGCTCCACCCTGCAGCTTCCAGGTGGGCTCAGTAGATGGAGATCCTGGAGGAGACTGTAGAGCAGCTGCTGGCACAGTTGTCCTGGAGCTACCTGGGCCCAGATGCCCCAGCTCTCTCCATGCAGACCATTCTACCTACCTCTCCTCTCATACTGGGCTCTCCGTGTAGGTAAGAGTGGTACAAGCTTCCCTGTCACATGGGTAGGAGTCAACTTCCCTTTCCTTTGTGGTGCTAAACCCCCCGCCACACCTCGAGTAAACAGGGCCCTTTCTAAGCCCAGCTCCTGTCTTGTCTGGGCACAGCATGTGTTTTCTCCTGGGACCCTGAAGCACACATCCATTCTACTCATGTAAAACAGACAGCTGCATAAGAGAAAATAATATATTCACGTGTACAGCTGTTGGCAAGAAGTCTTCAGAGATGGAGAAACCGATGAAGAATCTTGCTGCAAGATCCCAACCTATGCCAAGGGCCACTGCGAGAAGCCAGCATGGACACGAAATTCACACCCAGGGCAGCTCCTGTGTCTTCTGAGCCTTCTCATGAGGGCTGCAAGCACAGTGGTCTGGTACTGCCTGCCTGTAATGTTTTCTTTTAGAATAGACCCTGTGTGTAGATGAAAGAGCATTCGACATCATTACTACGTGGGATGCTGAGAACCAGGTGTTTTCTTCTCTGGGCATAAGCTCCTGAGGCTCCCGAAAGTCTCATCCTCCTGGGCCGAGGATGCTGAAGGGAGCAGTGGGATGGAAGGCGGGCCCAGAAAGCACACGGGCAGGCAGAATCTGCTCTGCCCAGCTCCAGTGTCTTGTCTTTACTGTGCTCACCGTATGTTTTCAGAAAGACAGGCCAAGAACAAAAGTGGGAGCCACCTAAATGTCCAACCATGATGGTCCATGAACACAGTGGAATGTGCAAGATAATTGTGAAAATTGTGCGGAAGTATGGGGAACTGCTTAGGATACACAGTTAAGTGAATAAAGCAGCATGTTAAGTGTTATATATGCCATGGTTACAATTCCAAAAATATGTATGTACATAGGCAAATTCTGGAAGAATAAAACCAGAAGAAAATGTTGTATTAAAGTGATAGCATCATGGATGTATATAGATAGCCTTTGATGTCTTTGTTGGAAGAGGCCATCCTTGCACCCTGTCCCTTGCTGAGCATGCCACAACTGCAAGGCCCTGAGTGTCCCTTAGCTGGCCCATTTCTCAGGTCCAGCTGATAACTCTGAGAGGTGAGGTAACATTGACCCCTCCCCATGATCCTCCAGGCAAACAGCAGGCTGGCTTCTGGCTTGCTGTAAGCACAGCGCCTTCTCCAAGCTCCACGCTTCACGCTGCACACACGGCATTCATCTGAGCCTGCTGTGTCACCTGTGAGGGAACTGGGACTGAGGGGAACTGACACAGAAGTGCGGCTGGACATAACATCCAGGAAACAGTAGCAGGTTGACTGAATAGCTTCTAAGAAGGATAAAATCAAATCCCAGATGACAGTCTTAATAAGGTTGCGATACCAATTTGAAATTACAGTTGACTCTTAAACACCGGTTTGAACTGCGAGGGTCCACTTAGAGATGGATTTTTTTTTCCAAAAAATACAGTCCGTGGGTTTTGTATCCACAACCAAACACAGATAGAAAATATAGTATTCTCAGGATTTAAATCTGCCCGTACGGAAGCCTGGCTTTTCATAACCTTCGGTCCCCAGGACTCACTATGGGACTTGAGTATGTGCAGATTTTCATGTCTTACCCATGGCCCTGGAAGCAATTTCCTACAGATTCCCAGGGATGACTGTATTTGCCTAATGTTTCTTTCCCAGCAGACTCATGTCTGTCTTGTGCACTGCTGTGTTCCTGGCACCATGGGGGAGCGTGGTGCAGAGCAAGTTTCCTCAGATGGCCCTTTGTGGATGGACTACAGGAGCAGAGATGTGCAAGAAGCAAGTTTCAGAAGGAATTCAAACCAAAATGTAGAGTTTGAAGGCAACAGTGACCTTTGCAATCATACCTCCCTGTTATTCAGTAACAAAGCCACCACCATGTATCAAGCACCCACAGGCCACACCTGTCTTCTGGACGATTTTCGGGGCATCATATTTCAATGTTCTGTCCATTTCCAGGCACAAAGTGCTTTCACTCACATTCGGTCCTTGCTGCAACTGCAAGCCACTGAAGACAGGTGTGTCTGATCCCAACGTGGAGCCCACAGTAACAGCAAGCAGCGACTGTTGCTTGTGCAGGAGGCCCTGTGTGCCACATGTTGCTCTTCACTACTGATCAGGGCTGTTTACGTGGGTCCCATCACAGCTGCTCTGTGACTAGGGAACTTGACGTCTCCATTTTTCAACTGAAAACACAGAAGTACAAAGGGGTTCACCACCTTGTCCACGGTTGCCCTGCTTCTAACTGGTCATGTTGGAATAAAAACAAGCAACTGTCATCCGGGATATTAACCACGCAGGCTGTGGTGTTGCAAAGCAGGGGAGCACGGAGCAGGGAGCATACCACCCTGCTGAGATCAGCTCACTCACAAGTGGCAGGGCTAGGGCTGCAGTGCAGCTCACTTACGGGCACTGTGTAAGCCTGAAAGCAAAGTCCACATCCAAAGGTCGTAGTGGCCCCAAAACAGCTTCCTGACCTGCTTCTGTGGTCCCAGACCTCTTGCTGCTGAGGTACCTTAGCTTTCCAATTACTCTTGCCAATTCTGCCTGCCCAGTACTGCTAAAAGGCCACTTCCCTCCGTCCCATGGCCTCAAACACACTTCAGAGAGAATTTCTGGGCACTTTCAGAAGGCTGGTCACTACAGCACAAAAGAAGTCAAAGTTATCGCGTTAGTGCTCCCAAATCTGAGGCACAGTTTGGAGATGGGGGCTCTGAGTCAAGGGGCAGGCTGGGGACTGTTCCGGTGCCTGTGACTATGGGACTGAGTCAGTCACAGCCCCTCTCATTTTCACCAGTGAAGGACATAATGTATACAGTGTTGCATTTCCAAGACAAAGTGCCTTAAATTGGCTTAGGTCAGCAGACTACAGAAGAAACAGGATATTCGAGGCCCCTGCTTGGATAGCTGATGCCTGCTTGTAGGCCTCCCCCTTTCCCCGCTTACCCCCCATTAGTTGCCTTCACCAGAACCGAAGAAGTTTAGTCTAAAATGAAAGCTTACTACTAGCCTGCAAAATAGCTCCCTTTGTCTGTTCTTATCAGCCAGCCCAGCTACTTAGGTCGTAAGTGAAATACTTGAAGAGCCCCTGAGCTGACTAGGATTGCAATGCATTGTGGGCTGTGACAAAATGCAGCAAGACAACCCTAAAAACAAACAAACAAACAAAAACACCTAAAGCCCCTGCCTAACAATCAATAGGTGACGTCCAGGAAGGTTGTGACCCCATAGTACTCAGCCTGTGGGAAACTGGGGGAGGAGCCTGCACACTAGTGGACAAATTGCTTGTTGAAACTGCTGGGTGTGCCTGTCCGTCAGACACCCGATTTTGCAAGACTGACTGTTTATTAAAAATCTCACTTTCGCTGTTCTCTGGGTCTCTGAGTCCATTCTTCGGGTTTGGATGGGTGAGTTTGTTTCTTACGCCTAGTGAGGGACTGGGCCAGGCAGTCTCTTGAGGTCCTCCCTCTGCTTCTCATAAGACATCTGTTGTATCTCTTCCTCTCCTCATCACACACTTCTGTGACTCCCCTTGAAAGACAAGAGCATGTTCAGTCCCCATCAGACATGGACAGTCAGTGCTTCCTTGCCCCGAATTTCTTCCCCTTGCCCTTGGCCACCCTAGACCCCTGGGCTTTCCCAGTAAGTCACACATCAAAACCTTCCTGCCATGTGTTTATAGGATTTTATATTTTGATTATGGAAGTTAAAAGTGTAGTGATCCAGTTAACATTTTATTTCTTCCAGAAAACTTAAGGCTTTAACTCTGTCAAAATATGTGCATTATGAAAGGTTCATATCCCCCAATATCTGCATCCTTAGAAATAAGAGCTTAGCCACTGTTGTATAGATTAACTTTGGCAGTGCCAGCCCTTTATTTGTATATGGAGCACAGGAGCCTGAATTAGCTGGCATTTTATTTCCTTACTAAGTCAATAAACACTTTTTTTTTTTTGAGACGGGGTCTCACTCTGTCGCCCAGGCTGGAGTGCAGTGGTGCGATCTCGGCTCACTGCAAGCTCCGCCTCCTGGGTTCACGCCATTCTCCTGCCTCAGCCTCCCGAGTAGCTGGGACTACAGGCACCTGCCACTGCGCCCGGCTACTTTTTTTTGTATGTTTTTTTTAGTAGAGATGGGGTTTCACCATATTAGCCAGGATGCTCTTGAACTCCTGACCTCATGATCCGCCCGCCTCGGCCTCCCAAAGTGCTGGGATTACAGGCGTGAGCCACCGCGCTGGGCCTAAACACTTATTTTTTAACACTATTGTCCCAGGCACTGTACTAGGTGCCAAGAAAACAAAAATGAACACAGAAAAAATATATACTCAAGTTATTCATGGTCTAGAGAAAAAGACAGACGTACGTGAATTCTTAGGCAATATGTGCCTGATACATCAACACACATAAGCGTGTGATAAACCACAGGGAGACTTGGGAAGGCTTCACGAAGGAGGGTGCCTGAGAGCTGAGGGCTCCATCCGAATTTCAGCCTCCAGGTGGTTCCCCGACTCCTTTCCCCACAGCTCTGGGCTGGAGTTGACAGATGGGTCGGTCAGCTAGCGTGGGCGAGACCATAGTCTCCACCTCACTGTCCAGTGGCCAGGGACCCGCTAGAGGGAGCCAGATGATTGTGGGAGAAGCAGGCCTTGCCACAGCCTCTTTGGTGTGGTGAGAAAATGTTTCTGTTTTAACAAAGTTGTACCCAACTCCTAAGCGTCACACATATAATCCTGCAGATCCGAATCCTACCAATCAGCAGGCACGGGTTCATCTCTACATCAGCTTCCCTTATTTGATGTACGGATGAACCCCACACTTGCTAATAGTACCTGAGTGTGGGCAACACTTCCAGATCTTTCCATAAAATTCAGCACAAGGGCCCTCATGGGTAAGGTGGCTTCCTCATTTGAATACAGATTCTCACATTGACATGGCCCTACCTCTGAGGATGACTTTTGAAGGACACAACAAGCCTCTGAGGCCTGTCACTGAATTCCTGTTATTTCAGAACACAGGGTTTTTGTGTGTGTCTTCTTCCTCCCCTGCCATGTTTCAGGGAAAGGGAATTCAACGTAAAGGGGCCCTTTGCAAAACATACCTTGCAGATGGACCCATCAGAACTGCCTAGGTCTTCCATTTGGGGGCCGGTTCCCAGGCTGACAGATCTGTGACTCTGTAAATGAGTAAGAACCTGAATGTGTCACAGAAAATTCTTCCTGGTCCATAGACTGAATGAAGCAAATGTGAGGTGTGGTTGATCATCATGAAGTTTCTAAGAGTAAAAGAGAGAAAGCAAAAAAGTACATCTTGTTCTCTTCAGCTCAGTGGCTGGATTTAAATTCAGTCTCCACATAAAACTTCAGAAACGGCCCCTGCCCTAGGACAATGGCCAAAATAACAAATAGCTGAAAATCTCCTTTCACTCTGAAGGCCAGTCCTTTCCCCCTGGGCAGCCCCCTCTCCTTCGGAGTGGGGAGGCAAACCTCCCGGTTGGACTGGAACTCCCGGGGCGTTCAACAGCAACGGGGCGGCCTGCTCCCACTTGCTTTGTCCCCAGGGTTTCAACCCTCTCAACAGTTTCTTCTCGTTGCTTCTGTGACTGTTTTTTTTGTTTTTTTTTCTGCCCTGTCCTACCTCTGTGACTGTTTTCTGCCACCTTTGTTAATCCTTCCCCTTGCCAGCTCCAATTTTAAGTGTCCCCTGAGACTGGTAACTCACTGCTTTGTGCCAGGAGGTTCCTTGGCTCCAATCAGGGGTTCCTGACAACTCCCACATTCCAAGCTGGACCCCTCCTCAGCAGGTCCCACCCCACACAAGCTCTCTTCTTCAAACCGGCTGGCTTCCCCAGCCCCTAGCCCTCTGAGGCCATCACCCTTTCATAGGCATCTGTGTGTGTTTGTCAGAGCTGTAAAGAACCACAAACCAGGGGGCCTAAGATCTCGGAAACTTTATACTTTCACGGTTCTGGAGGCAAGAAGTTTGCGAGCAAGGTGCTGGCGGAGTTGGAGCCTCTGAGGGCTTCTAGTGGTTTGCTAGCCATCTTTGTGTTTGCCATCTCTGCCTTCATCTTCACATGTTCTCCGTGTGTGTCCATGTCTCCAAATTTCTCCTTTCCGTAAGGACACCAGTCATATTGGATTAAGGCCCACCCTAACGCTTCATTTTTACTTGATTACTTCTGTAAAGACACTGTCTCCAAATAAGGTCACATTTTCAAGAACTGCTTTGAACTTCAACATAGAAACTTTCTTTTTCGAGGAAAAGAGAATCAGGATTCAACCCAGAACAACACCCAAGCAAGAAGCCTGAGACAGAGCTTTGTGTCTTCCTGCTCCCTAATGCCAGCCTTAGCCAAGCCTCCCTGTATCTCCCACGCCCACTCCCCAGCCTGCACCTTCACCTCCAGGGGGCCTCTGTCTACTGACCTGTCTTTCCCCAGCCAATCCTCTGCAAAGTGCTGCAGTCCCCAAACCATAAAGAACCAGTTTTGTTACATTGCTATGGTTGCTCAAGGACAGACATTGGCTCCCTAGCACTGTGGAAGGCAAGTCAGAAGCCTCTGCCTCCCCTGAACCCCTCCCGTCCTACCTGGGAGGGAACCACACTCAGGAGCTAGACAGTTCTCAGGAGCCTCATGGCAACTGCTCACATCTGAGTCCCAGCTGGAGTTCAACCTAAGTCTCCCTTCTTCAGTGACACCCTCCTGATGCTTAACTGTGCTTTCTTAGAGCTTTACCAGCGCTGCAACAGAGGCCTGATAGCTCTGTGCTTAGTGATTTTGCTGTCTCGTGCCTCGGGGCTGTGACTGGGCTTCCCTGTGTCCTGGTCCTCGCCCAGCACACGACTGAGATGGACAGGAGGTTAATACATGAGCGTTGAATCAGCGGAAGATCTGGGGACCAACTCAATGATTACAGAGTGAATGATGGTGCCAAGGCCAGGGCTCTGAACCCGCAGGGAACTTGCTCACTGTTTGTTTGTGTGGCTGCACCCTGCCTCCCCCTTCCTTGGGGGTCTGAGATGCCACAATCACCTTCTCTGGTTCACTAGAACAGAAAAGGGGCCCAGAAGCCCCCATGACATCACACACCCCCCTCATGCCCTGAGGCCCAAAGTTCTTTTCAGAGAAGTGTTGTGTTGTTGAGCTCCACCTCCACAGGAGTGATTGAGCTCTTCAGGGAGGGCTGGGGGCAGCCATCAGGTGCCTGGGTGTGTTTGGTCATGATCCCTGGATAGGGACCCACCTGTGCCTCCCCACCCAACAAGGGAATGATTCATTGTCTCAAAGTGCCGCGGGAGGGCAAGGACTTAGCCCCAGCCAGAGTGCAGTGTGGTGTGAAAACTGGCTCAGGAGCACCATAACCTATGAGCTTCCTGATTTCCTTTAGCAATGGAAGGTCATTGGCCAAAGGGTGACCTCAAGGTCAGAGGTTGTTGTCTGTACAAGTACCGTCTGCAGCAGCCTCAGACAGAGGCCATTTCTGCTTGGACACCTGCAGCCCTTGGTGGCCCAGAGATGCTGCCTTGAAGTGAAAATGCAAAGCGATTTGAAGTCCCCAGAAGACAGAGGGGTGCTGGCCTCACTTGGCTCATAATGAAGCCCCGGATTGCGTGCTGGGGCTGGAGAAGCCACAGGAGCTGTTGCCGCTGGGGCCTGGGCAGAGGGCAGCAGGAAGGTACAGGGCTGTCCCTGCATGAGGAACTCACCGAGACCTGTACTTGTGTGACGGATGGTTCATACAAGTATTGAAGGTCCACATCACCAGCATCGGCCAGCTCAAAGACCAGCATGGGTGGAGGACCAGCCTCCAGCCAGTCAGCTCCAGGAGACACGCCTGGCCAGGACCAGCTACAGGATTTGCAGGCCCCATTGCAAGATGAAAATGAGGGATCCATGGTTCAAAAATGACTAAGAATGTCAATCCAGTGACAGCAGAGCAAGCGTGGGCCCTTCTGAGTGCAGGGACAGCCTGGGTGTCACCCCACGAAGCCAGCCCCAGACCCCACATGTGGAGGAACTCACTGCTCAACCTAAACCGTCTGCTGAGGGAGGCCCAGTCACACCCGGGCTTTCCCGCAGCCTCTTCCAGTGGGATTCCCACAACACCCTTCCTCCCGGAAGCGCCCTGCCTTCCTCTGGAAAGGGGCCTGGGATGTTCCCTTAGAATAACCTATCGAGTGAGCATTTGGCAAATGGGCTCTGTATTTGTGTTATATGGAACAATAAAAATGTTCTTGGGAAGAAACTTGAACTCCAGAGCTCACCTCCTGCTTGAAACAAGTGACGTCTCCTGCAGCTAAGTAAGTGAGAGTCATGTGGGGTTGGGAGCCAGCGCTTTGAGGCCAGGACAGGGGCTGGGAGAAAAGTGGCCCAGGCCGGGTGCCATGGCTCACGCCTGTAATCCCAGCACTCTGGGAGGCCAAGGCAGGCGGATAACGAGGTCAGGAGATCAAGACCATCCTGGCCAACATGGTGAAACCCCGTCTCTACTAAAAATACAAAAATTAGCTGGGCATGGTGGCACATGCCTGTAATCCCAGCTACTTGGGAGGCTGAGGCAGAAGAATAGCTTGAAGCAGGGAGTCGGAGGTTGCAGTGATCCAAGATCGTGCCACTGCACTCCAGCCTGCGTGACAGCAAGACTCTGTCAGGGAAAATAAAAAAAAAAAAGTGGCCCAATGAGCACAGGTCCGCAGCTGAACACAAGGAAGTAGGATTCAGAGAAAGACAGGGGAAGTGAGTTTGCTAGGAGGAAGAAAAGACAGACCTCAGGACCCAAGGACTCAAGGTGAGCATCAATCTCACTGTTCTCGGTAGGGTGGGATGGTGGTGGTCACATAGAATGGGGGGGAACTCGACAATCACTGGGAGACAGTGCTGACCAAATGAACCAATGAACTGTGTAGCCAAGGAACACTACTGTGTGTGTGTATGTGTGTGTCACGTGTGTGTCATGTGTATGTGTGTGTTGTGTGTATGTGTCGTGTGTATGTGTGTCACGTGTGTGTCGTGTGTGTATGTGTGTCATGTGTGTATGTGTGTGTCGTGTGTGTGTGTACAGAATCTGATGCTTTTATAATGAAGGATGGCTGAAGACTAGGAGAGATGGTGGCAGGATGGCATCAGGGTTGTTTGCTCTGGTTTTAGAGCCAGGCTGCTTAACTCAAGTCTGAGCATAGTCATTTTCTAGCTGGGTGACCTTGGCAAAATTCTGGGCCTTGGTTTCTTCATCTGTAATATGGGAATAGTAGTAATAGCCATATTTTAGGGTTGTGTGTGAGGATTAAATGAATTAATACATGTGCTTTGGTGCCTGGAATGTACTAAATACTCCAGAGATATCACCAATGATGATTTGTTAAGCCGTAGTTACTGCAGGACCTGAATCCTGAGACACATGACTGTCTGAGAGCTCTGGGGGTGGAAGGATTACACAACTGTGCTGGTAATTGCTACCTTTTGAGTGTTAAGTGTGCACCTTGGGGCATTCCCACTGACAAGGGACTCCCACGCACAGAGTCCATTTCCCTAGAACGTTATAATCAGTCTTCCAGATCCTTGGCCACTCAGAGGAGCACCTCGCACGTTTCAAAAGGTAACTTCCTGAATACACATCTGCTGGGTTTTCCTTCCTCCAGCTCTTCTCTGTTTCATTTTTCTCATCTTACTTTAAGCCTCTTGAGCAGATTAACAAGGCTGAGAAAATTCCCCCGGTCCTTTTTAGCTGCAACATGATTCAGCATACTTCTGATCATCCTCTTAGGCTGATATGTGGGTTTTCTTGACATTTTTAGGGACCTAGTTTGATGTGTTTGTCCTGTGAGACTCACTGTGACACCGGAAATAGACCCTGTGATTAACTACAGTGTTGTGCTTTTTTTTTTTTTCTAAAGCCACAGTCATATTACCGGGTATGTGTCATTTATCAGATATTTTTGGGGTACTATGTTGCACCTTATTATCTAAAAGCCAGGATTCAGAGGATGTATAACTCTCATAAGAACAGTGAGTTGGATACTGAGAGAAGATGTTCAAGATCAGAAAGCAACTCAGAGATAAAATTGAGATTTGATTTCCTAAATTCTAACGTACTTAATTTCACAAAAGAACAAAATACCAGCAAATACACAACTGCCCAGCGACTTTGTTGTAGTGAAATTAAAACCCACAGATGGTCGGGCGCGATGGCTCATGCCTGTAATCCCAGCACTTTGGGAGGCCGAGGCAGGTGGATCACATGAGGTCAGGAGTTTAAGACCAGCCTAATCAATATGGCGAAACCCCATCTCTACTAAAAATATAAAAATTAGCCAGGCGTGGTGACGCACACATGTAATCCCAGCTACTCGGGAGGCTGAGGCAGGAGAATTGCTTGAACCTGGGAGGCAGAGGTTGCAGTGAACTGAGATCGTGCCACTGCACTCCCGCCTGGGTGACAGAGCGAGACTCTGTCTCAAAAAAAAAAAAAAACACCCACAGATTACCAGAACCACACTCTTGCTCTGTGATGTGTGGGGCAGATGCATAGCTGAGCCTTTCTCGGATGGCTGGCGTGGGAGGAGAAGCGATCCACTGGCCCTGGATAATGGTTGATGGTGCTTTGTTTTGTGTATTGCTTCCTTCTATAAGGGCGGTCAGGGTCTCAATGGGAAAGAGGAACAAGGAACGTTAGAGAGATAATCGTTCCTAGAAACACGAAGAGGGGCCGAGAATTAGAGGACAAGAAGGAATGAATGTCAATGTTGTTAGGGACAATTAGGAAATGTCATACTATCTGCAAATACCGGATGTCTGAAATATTTTAGCAAAACTGAAATAAATAGATTAGAAGAATAAAGTTGGAGGACGCATGCTGCCTGATTTCAAGGATGACTATAAAGCTACAGTAAAAAAGACCATGTGGTATTCACCTAAACATAGACAAATAGATCAGTGGGTTAGAAAAGAGTCCAGAAACAGCCCATACCAATATGGTGTATTGACTTTTAGCGCAGGTGCATAAACAATTTGATGGAGAAAGGGGAGTCTGTTCAGCAGATGGTGCTGGGCAATTGTAGATCCACATGCAAAAGGAGATGAACTCAGCAGGTACCTCATACCTGATACCAAAGATAATTCAAGCTGGATTACAGACCTAAAGATACAATATAAACTACAGAGCTGGAGAAGAAAACATCGCAGCTGTTAGGAATGGGTATTTGTCTTTGTAGTGTTCCATTCATATCAAATCATGTCATGCTGTATAAGTTGTGTCTGTAACCAGCTTTTTGCCACTTAGCATTGCATTTTTCCAGGTCGTTAATGTTCCTCCTGCCCCTTCACTGATGCTGACTGTGCCAGGCCATCCTCTGAGCTCTGATCTAGAGGAGCGCTGTAAGGCAGAGGCTGCATAAAGAACCTGGCCTCCATGAGTAGGAATCCAGAAACACACTTGGCAGTCCAGCCCATCTCTCCCATGGGGTGGCCTTGGGATAAAGAGCATGGGCCCTTCTGCAGTGACAAAACTCAGAACTGTTGGAAAGTCATGGACCTCACAGAATCCTGAAAACAAAAAGAGAGCTGTGCTTCATGAGTCACCTCTGACTTCAAGAGGAGCTGTCTTTTCCCTTGGCCCCATTGCACGTGTTTTCCAGAACCACAACACCCTGCGATGTCTGTATCTGTGCCTGTCACTGTCTTATTTAAGAAAACCCCAAACCACATGAATTGTGATAAACAAAAGTATTTTGAATTCCACCCTTTAGGCTTATTATGACATAAAAAATCATGCCCTGGATGTAAGTGGGCTGACACTGCTGAATTCATGATAGGAAATGGTCATCTGACTTCCTTCTGGAGGAGAGGCCTGAGAGGGAGGGAGTGCTTTGACCGGAGTCCAGGGAGCACTGAGATATATTTAGCCTCTCATAAGCATGGGCTGCCAAGGTTAAGTCAGACCAGTTCTACTCCTCTGTGTGTCCTAGGACATCACTTGATCTATATTTCCTGTCTCAGTTTATCCTGAATGTAAGATTTACTCCAAGAGGGCAGGAGCTGGGCCACATCTGTTTCATTTTCATTTTCTTCTGTATTCCAAATATCAAGCACAATGCCTGGCATCCCACAGGCATGAAATAAAAATGTATTGAATGTCAGTGAATGAATGAATAATGTATGGATAGATGGATGGATAAAATGGAAGGGTGAATAGGTAGATTGGTGGGTGGATGAATGGATTGGTGGATGGTTGGATGGATGGATGGATGGATGGATGGATGGATGGATGGATATGATATATGGATGAATAAGATCGGTGGATGGATGGGAGAATGGATGGATGAATGCATGGATGGATGGATGGATGCATGGGAGGATAGATGGATGAATACATGGATGAATGCATGGATGGATGGATGCATGGGAGGATAGATGGATGAATACATGGATTGATGGACAAATGGATGGATGGATAGATGGAAGGGTGGATGGGTGAATGGGTAGATGGACGGATGATTGGATGGGTGGATGGATGTGAGGATGGATAAGATGAGATGAGATGGTATGACTTTTTGTTGGTTCTGTAGTTCAATTAGTTCAATTAGGGTGCTTTTTTTTTTTTGAGACGGAGTCCCGCTCTGTTGCCCAGGTTAGAGTGCAGTGGCACGATCTCAACTCACTGCAAACTCCATCTCCCAGGTTCCAGTGATTCTCCTGTCTCAGCCTCTTGAGTAGCTGGGACTACAGGTGCCTACCACCACACCTGGCTAATTTTTGTATTTTTAACAGAGACGGGGTTTCACCATGTTGGCCAGACTGGTCTCGAGCTCCTGACCAAAGGTGATCTGCCTGCCTCAGCTTCCCAAAGTGCTGGGATTACAAGCATGAACGACTGTGCCTGGCCTTGGTGTTTTATTGAAGCGATGAACTCAGGTTTTTTTCTCACACATTCCACACATCAGGCTTCTGTTTAGACGATGTTTGATCTTAGTCATGAGAAGAACCAGGTAATGGGCCCTCCTCTTATTTATCTTTATTCTTTGTAAAACCCCCAAAGTTGCTCATTAACAACAACAACAACAAAAAGAAAACCCAAAAACATACTCAAAAAACCCTGCAGGGGCCTCCATCTTGGTGGGATTCATCTACCAAGCAATCTGCATTTGTCCATCAGGGTCACACATAAATGTCCTTGGGCCAGGGTCTGGCATGGGCCTCCCACATTTGAGCCCCGACAGGATGTGATTCCATCCCCCCTGCAAGGCTCCAGCACCCATTTACCCCAGGGGCCTAGTGAGCAGCCTTCTTCCTCACAAACGAGCCTGTGGGCCTGTCCCCTTGCATAGCTGCGGGTTTGCTCTTTTTCTCACATAGAGAAAAATATATAAAGAATGAAAGCCAAAGAAAGTAAGCTGTAGGGTCATTTCATGATAAATGAGATAGGGCTCCTTTTGAGCTTTTTAGAAAGTTGAAGGGCAGATACATTGGCTCATGCTTGTAATCCCAGCACTTTGAGAGGCCAAGGCGGGTGGATTACCTGAGGTCAGGAATTTAAGACCAGCCTGGCCAACATGGTGAAACCCTGTGTCTACTAAAAATATAACACTTAGCCAGGCATGGTGGCAGGTGCCTGTAATCTCAGCTACTCAGGAGGCTGAGGCAGGAGAATCACTTGAACCGGGGAGGTGGAGGTTGTAGTGAGCCGAGATTGCACTATTGCACTCCAGCCTGGGCAACAAGAACAAAACTGTGTCTCAAAAACAAAAAAGAAAAAAGAAAGAAAGTTGAGACCATGCAGAACTCTCGTTACCATCTGGGCGTTTCCAGCGTCGAAGGATCCGGCACTATCAGAACTCTCGTTACCATCTGGGCGTTTCCAGCGTTGAAGGATCCCGCATTATCAGCCATGAACACTTAAGACATGCCTGGTTTTAGTTCAACTCAATAAAAGTTTCTTGAGGGCCGAATGTGGAGACGCCATGAATTCTTGCTTAAAGGGAGTTTGCCATTTAGACAAAGAGAAATAAGGGTGGGACTGGAGGAGAACACAGGCAGAATACAGTCAGGAGGCGAGGTGAGCCCTAGTCCAGGAGGAGGGGTCCTCGGCCTCTGCTTCCAGGTGGAGTACATCCAGCAGCCCCTGAAGCTCATCTCTCTAGAAAGGGGGAAGTTCAAAACATGGAAAAGGTAATGGTATCACACAGAACTCACAAACATGTGTCAGAAATTGTTAATATAATGAATTGGAATGGCCTACAAAAAAAAAATTTCAGGGAGGATGTTAAGTGGCAATTTCAAGTATTTGAAACTCAGTTACAAATTCAGGAGTAAAAGAGCTTTGAATAGAAAAATAGATGCAACAGGGCCCGGTGTGGTGGCTCATGCCTGTAATCCCAGCACTTTGGGAGGCTGAGGTGGGTGGATCACGAGGTCAAGAGATTGAGGCCATCCTAGCCAACATGGTGAAACTCCGTCTCTACTAAAAATACAAAAATTAGCTGGGTGTGGTGGCGCGTGCCTGTAGTCCCAGCTACTCAGGAGGCTGAGGCAGAATTGCTTGAACCCAGGAGGTGGATGTTGCAGTGAACCGAGATCCCACCACTGCCCTCCAACCTGGTAACAGAGCAAGACTGTCTCAAAAAGAAAAAAGGAAAAGAAAAAAGAAAAATAGATGGAACAAAGTGTGGACACTGCTCCTCAGCCAGTCCTGCCTTCACTCAGAATCTATTTACTGTGTGCACGGTTCTAGCAAGCTCAAGATTCCTGCTGACTAGCCAAACGCCAGTGGAAGATAATTAAAAAGAAGGCTGCTAGAGATGCAAATGCTGAATTTAGGGGGAAAAAGGAGGCAGCTGAAAGTGAGGACCTACATAAAAACAATTTTTAAAGATTAGGCATAAGAACTAAAAAAGTGGCCAGGCGTGGTGGCTCATGCCTGTAATCCCAGCACTTTGGGAGGCCGAGGTGGGTGGATCATCTGAGGTCAGGAGTTCAAGACCAGCCTGGCCAACATGGTAAGACCCTGTCTCTACTAAAAATACAAAAATTAGCTGGGCATGGTGGTGCGTGCCTGTAATCCCAGCTACTCAGGAGGCTGAGACAGGAGAATAACTTGAACCCAGGAGGTGGAGGATGCAGCAGTGAGCCAAGATCGTGCCACTGCACTTCAGCCTGGGCGACAGAGCAAGACTGTCTCAAAAAAAACCTCAAAAGACTGAACAGTCTAAGGCGATGAACTATGAACTATTCACACAGCTGATCCTATACCTTCCTGGCCCCTATGTCATTAAAATACAGTACACTTCAAACATTACCCAATTTCCTAATATGAGGCATTCTATATGTAACTTATAAGCTAGGTACTTGTAATTCTCCATAATTTTCTCTTAGATATAATAATAGAAGTAATGGTTTTGTTTTCAGATCAGCACATAAGAGCCATTGACCTCTATAATACAACTGCACTATTTATAAGTTTCAGAAAACAATTCTGGAACCACGGTGTCCTTTTAAACATATGAAAGCCATATGGCAATTCTAATGAGATAGGCCCACAGCTGACGGTGTTCCCTGAGCTGCTGTCTGGTCCAGAGCCCATGCACACAGGTGGAGACTGACTCTCCCTTAGGACCACTGCCTTTGCCTGGTTTCCTATGCAGATGATGGCAGTCTGGACACAGGGAGAAACACAGGCTGGGAATGCTTCGTGGGAAAGGATGGAGGGCTAGCACTTGCCTCGGTGAGACCAGAAGAGATATGATTTGTACCTAGACAGGGTCAAGGGCATTCTTGTTAAGTTAGGGCATCTATTCTTGACTAGGCCACTGAGGGCAAGGTCTGACCCCTGTATCCCGACACCTACTGCCTGGGATTGGTAGATGATACATGATTTTGATCAAATGAAACAAGGAATGGACAATGATATCCTTTCCTAAAGAGAGGCAGCCACTGACACAGCGCCAAGCCTAGGGGTAGGGATGGAGCATCACTACCGACTGCTCCTGGGATTGCTGAGATGTGGGGCTGGAGGTCACAGAGCCAGCCACGGAACAGCAACTGTGAGCCATCAGAAGCCACAGCACCCCATGCAGCAGGAAATTCTGAGGAAGCAACAGCTGATGAGGAAGAGGAAGGAGAAGAGAGAAAAGAGGTAACTTATTCCCATGAGGAGAAGCATCGAGGACACTCGGGGCCCACTGGTGGTGGCAGGGTGCATAGAGGATGAACTGGCAGCCAGAGGTGAGCACACTTTGGTCAGTGCCCAGTTAAAATGAATGTTTCCACTGAAAAATATCTCAAACCTTTGAAGAAAGGATTAAACTGTGCTTAGTATCTTCTGAGACACATAAAAGTAGTTAAAGCACTTTAGAAAGAATACCATCAAAATAAATTAAATTTCTTTTTTTTTTTTTTTGAGACAGAGTCTCCCTCTGTCACCCAGGCTGGAGTGCACTGGCACTATCACTAAACCTGTCTCCTGTGTTCAAGCGATTCTTTTGCCTCCATCTCCTGAGTAGCTGGGATTACAGGCATGCACCATCATGCCTGGCTAATTTTAGTAGAGATGTCGTTTTGCCATGTTGGCCAGGCTGGTCTCAAACTCCTGGCCTCAAGTGATCTGCCCATCTTGGCCTCCCAAAGTGCTGGGATTACAGATATGAACCACTACTCCCAGCCATGAGTCAAATTTTTAAAAGAATGCATTGTTTCTCAAGTCATGTCTCTTAATTAAAAAACGCACTTATGTGCTGGGTAAATGAGATATTATGTCTTCCAGGTTGAGAAATTATTATTATTTTTTTATTTTTATTTTTTTGAGACAGAGTCTCGCTCTGTTGCCAGGCAGATGGAGTGCAGTGGTGTGTTCTGGGCTCACTGCAACCTCTGTCTCCTGGATTCAAGTGATTCTCCTACCTCAGCCTCCTGAGTAGCTGAGACTACAGGTGCCCACCACCACACCCAGCTAATTTTTGTATTTTTAGTAGAGGTGGGGTTTCACCATGTTGACCAGGATGGTTTCTATCTCTTGACCTCATATCCACCCACCTTGGCCTCCCAAAGTGCTGGGATTACAGGTGTGAGCCACCATGCCCAGCTGACTGAAGGTTATTTTAACAGCTGATTAGGAAAAAAAAAGTGAGACTTCACATTAGGAAAAGTCCTCCCATCTACTGTCAGAACATGCCTGTGAAGGGTTTGAAATTTCTCTGAATTTTAGGTTCATAAACAATCAAAACAATCTTCAGCTCTGCCCAAAACAGGAAAACAGCTGGAACAATAAAAAGTAAAGGACCCTGTGATTCACAGAACCAAAGTGAATACAGCTGAAAGCAGACTGTGCCTTTAAGGTTGAGTTTATATTGAACACCTTGTTGAACAAGCAGGCAAAAATTTAGTCATCCAAACAGATCATGCTATTCTTAAGCCTTTGTTGGACTCTCATCTGCAGGCTGTGGTTCTAGGAATTTTGGTCAGAGTGGGCCGTGCTTGTTATTTTTCAACAGGTCAAGAAACAGTAGAAAAACAGCAGACTGTGAAAAAATACTTACAACAAAGGGTTAAGATCCTTAACATAAAAGAGCTCCTAAAAGACACCATGAAAAACAAAACAATTTGGCTACCAAAAAAAAAAAAAAAAATACAAGGCAAAAGATATCGTTATCCACACAATGGGTGGGCTTGGTCACTTGGTGGAGGACAACCACCCGCAGAGGATTTAGCAGGGAAATTTTACTACTTGCAAGGAGACCAGCGATAGCTCCCAAATCAGCACCTGCCCAAGCCAAGGGCCAGGTCAGGTTTTATAAGCAAAGGGTAATGACATGTGATCTGATTGGATATTGCAATGAGGTGATGCCTGGTGGCACAACCTGACTGGATCTTGCCATGGGGTGAGGCCAAAGCTCCATCCGATTGGATCCTGGATCCTGAATCCAGGCATGCAGTGTCCTCTTCTTAATTCAGTCCCTGGCTCTCAGTCTGAGCACTTAGGTTTGCCCTGTGGCTGCACACTTTGTTTACCTGGGTGTGCTCAGGCTATGTGAACTGAGGGTCCATGGCAACTGAACAACAACTCACAACTTTGTTACATAAAAGTCGAACCAGATTGGCCTGGTGTAGCTACCATAAGAGTAGGCAATTCAAAGAAGAATCATAAATGGCCAATAAGGATTTTAAAAAATTCTCAACCCTCCTGACGATCAGAAATATGCAAATCTGATAATAAGATACTCCCACTGATCAGATCAGCCAAAGTTAAAAGTATTCGCATTTGTGCACAACCTAGGGCACTGTGTGATCTGGGACCATTTGCATCAGAATCATCTAGTGGGCTTGTTTAAAGGCAGATTCCAATTGCCAAAACCTTGAAGGACCCAGATGTCCTTCAACTGGGTAACTGACAAACTGTGGTCCATCCATACCATGGAACACTACTCAGCACTAAAAAGGAACAAACCATTGATACAGACAATAACTCAGATGAATCTCATAGGCATTATTCTAAGTGAATGAAGCCAGGCTTGAATGTTACACACTGTATAATTCCAGACTTGAAAATAAAAAACCAATAGTGACAGAGAAAAGCCCTGTGTTTACCAAGGGAGTGAGGTGGGGTCAGGTGTGAGTAGAAATCGGTAGCTAAGGGAGCTTGTTGGGCTGGTGGAACTTTTCTGCATGCATTGTGGTGGTTACACAAATCCACTCCCTGTGCTAGAATTCATAAAACCCGCACACTCCACCACTGACCTCCACAAAGCCAAATTTACTGTGTAAAAAGTAAACAAACAAACACAACCCATATGAGTCCACCTCAGACCTAAACATCACAATCTCTAGGGAGGTGGGGCTGAGCTGATGGCTTTTCCTAACAAGCTCTCAGTGGTTCTCATGGACACTACGTTTTGAGGACCACTGGCTGGCATCACAATGGGGGTGAATGTGACTAGGAGGTTCTATCAAAACATAGAATGTGCCTACCCTCCACCCAGTGCTTGAACATCCCTTCCCCCTCATCACTCCGGGGAAGGATCCTGCTCAACACCCAACTACTCATTCAAACCTGGAACCCGAAACTTTAATGAAGGTTGCTCTACTGAGATTTTTCTCCCCACCGAACATGTCTGTGACCCACAAAGAAGCCCATGAAAGAAAGTGCCCAGAGAAACCAGAGCTGTGGAAGGCTGGCTCGACGGTGCCCCTCACTGCCCCTGAGAAAACAGACCCATTTCCTCTCTGCCCACCTCTTTCCCTGACATGTCCCCAGCAGCAGTCCTGTATTCCCAGTTCCTCTCAAGATGTTCTGAATAGTCTCTGGGTATCCTCTCATTGCCTTCAACTCAAGATATCTAAAACCAAAACTCATTGTCTTCCCACTCAAAACGTCCTCCCCTTTCTGCTGCCAACCCCAGTCAGTATTGTCTGCAGGCTTCCAGGCTTGGATCCTTGACTCACGGCCACCCAAGCTTCCTTCCCCCGTGTGCGATTAGTCAGTAAGTCTTAGTAGTGATGAGGGCTTCCTGCACCGTGACTGTCCGGCATGCTTTTTCCTCTCCCATTTCCTCAGCCACCAGCAATTCCAGGCCCCTCTTTACTTCGTATGTATTCTAGCGAGATCAACTGGCAAGACAAAGCTCAGACGTCACCTCCAGAAGGTTTTCATGGCTTGTGATAATCTGGCTTCACCTGTATTCTACTTCATGAGACAACTGACTATCTCGTGGCCTCTTCCCTGTGGCCTCCATCTCTCTTTGCAGCTCCAGTCCCTGGCACATGCTTGGCACACAGCTCACTGCAGCTGCTCAATGAGTTTTGTGGACTGGATGTTTGCTTGTGGGAAGTGGAAGCAGGGACCAGATGGATGGGCAGAAGGATTGTCCTATTCAAATATGCACTGGTGGTCCTGTCTTGTGTTTGGGCACCAGTTGAATCCAAGAGCTCTCAACCTGTGGAGTGTCGGATGAAATCTATGGAATCCCTCCTCAGAAAAGCAAATGAACCCACACAATGATGGCGCAGTTTCATTGTCATCAGCCTCCTGAGGCGTATCCACAATCACCAGGTCAGAAAACCCTGCTCCTTCCTTGCATTCAATTGGGCACATCACTATCAAATTAATTTTTCTGAAACACGACAAAATCTCATCAGAAATATACCACACTTTGTTGTCCCAAATGCTTGCCACCAGAAGTGTTTTGTATTTCAGATTTTTTGGATTTTGGAATCTTTGCATTATACTTACCAGTTTGGCATCCCTAATCCAAAACTCTGAAGTCAGATTAGCGATATTAAACCTGTACTAAGGAGAGCAATTCTGAATTTTTTGGCTTGGCAGCCACGGTTATTTTTGTGCCCCTCTAAATATACCTACTACCTACTATCCCCAGTGTGTAATCAGGCCATTGATGCCAGAGAGAGGTGTGAGTAGAATGATCACCAGTAGTGCCTGCCCTGAGAACGTGGCCACTGGTGCCCAGAGCAGAGTTGTCTGGGGACTGGCTGGAGGCCCATAGAGAGGCCCACACAAGAGCTCACCTGTGTTGACCAGCTCTCTTGCGTGCTCCAATTCCTATGCTGTTGCCTTGACTCAGCATGTGGTTCTCAGTGGGGTGATTCTTCCCTGCAGGTGACAAGTACTAATGTCTGCACACATTTACAACTAGGGAGGGAGTGCCACTGGCATTGAGTGGGTGGAGGCCAGGGATGCTGCTGAGCTTCCTGCATTGTACAGGACAGCCCCCACCACAAAGAACTTTCTGGCCCCAAGTGTGCATAGAAAAGATCCTGGTCTGCAGAGCCCTGTCCACCCATGGTCAATCCTGAAACTCTCCTTTGAGTCCCCCAGACTTTCCTGGGCCCTCCGGTCTTGCAGGATCTTCTCTTTCTTTCACACCTGTCCTTCCTGGGCAACATTTCTCCCCGACAAACCAGCGCCTGACCCTTGAGCAGGTCTCACCCAATCCTGCGCTTGTTTTAACCATATCCTTAGTTAGGTTCTAAGGTCATTGCGGGCAGGGAGGTTCATTTTCCTATAGGCCTGAGCACAAGGTCAGCGTGTGATAAATATGTGTTGACCCTCATAGATCCCTGAAGCACAGAATGAAAAATAAAATTGCTTAAATTTACTGATTTCAGGATATGGGAACAAAGGAATTGTGTTTAAATGTAAAAAAGAAGTTCTAGAATTTCCACAGAATTTACATTCTTCTTGTTGTAAGGAATATGCCTGGTAATGGAACTCAAATATCAGCTTGGATCGCCCTGGCCTTTGAAATTTGAGGTAAAATTAGGCTTAAGCCGTATCCAGCGCACAACAGAAACCTCAGTGTCTCCCACCCAGGGACTGTCTCGGAGGCTGTGTGTTCAGATGTCACTTCTGCCTCCCGGCATCTGCTCCTGAGTTTTCACTCTTCAGCCTCCCCTCCCAAGGCCTCCTTCCTACCCTGGCACTGGGCTTCTTGCCCCGTCCCCCTAGAATCCGTGGCACAGGGGCTTTATCTGTGTGGAGTCTCTACAGACGGTTAGAAACACAGAGTCAGCTAGAAATTAAGCAGTAGGCAGCTGTGATGTTTTTTGACAGCCTCATTTCTAAAACCCCTTCAGCAACCCCAGTCAAGGAGCTTCTCCCTCTAGACTCCAGCCTCCTGCTGAGTCACCTGCACCGTCTCTGCCTTCCTCCCCTTCCTCACATCCTCCCTGGCCCCATCTTCCAATTCCTCTGAACTTCTGCAGAGCAGCCAGCTCTTCCTCCAGCTTCAACTTCCCCACCCCAAGCAGGTGGGGCATCCTGACCCTGAGCAAAAGCAGTTCTCTCCCTAAGAAACACCGGTGACTTTTGTTCATGGCACTCCATGGATGCAAAGCTCTGAGTTCTGTTGAACAGGGACTCACCTACGAGTGGTGGTGCTATCAGCTGAGACGGGAAGCAGCACTCAGTAGAAGAAGAAAAGGCCTGGACTGGTGTGGGCATGCACTGGCTCGTGAGAAGCAGGGAAGGTCGCTCTTATGGGTCCCGTTTCTAAGTGACGTTCACGGCCTGGCTGTGTGTTGTCCAAGTGTTTTTCTTTCTTACCAAACCTTGGAGGTCTGGGAGCACCATATATGTCACACATGTGGGCAGGACTGGCCGTCGGGGCCGATGGGAGCTGCCTGGCGCACAAGTCCCTGGGGATGCCCATAAGTGCCTCACGTTGGCACTGAAGAAATGCAGACAGTGTGCCGCTTTGGGGAAGGCTTGTTGTTGCTGACTTTACACACACACACATATATATATACATACACACACACATATATACACATATATATGTATGTATACAGAGTGCTATAAAGTTATTCTTATTTTGTGAGTGATACAACCTTATTATTTAAAAATTAGGAAGAAAGTTAAAAAGAGGGTAAAACTCATATCTCTTCATGAGAAATGATCACTGTGACTATTTCAGCATACTTCCTCTGGCTCTGAGAAGAATCTTTAGGAAATAAGGAGCTTTTCATCTCCAGGGAGATGCCAGGGTCAGTTTCACCCCAAGGCAAAACCCTTCTCATTTTATGGGGCCAGATGCTGAAGATCAGAAACAGTTCGATCCTGCCCCGAGAAGGTGTCCGCCTCATCCTTGGAGTTAATGTGGCCACTTCCTAGGCAACTCAGAGGCTTTATGGGTCCTTTCGCCTCTTAAAATTAATTGAGTTATTCAGTAAATACAGGTTAAGCATCCCTAATCCAAAAATACAAAATGCTCCAAAACTGTTTTAGTACCAAAACGACCCTTAAAGAAGGCACTCACTGGAGCGTTTTGGATGTTGGATATCAGATTAGGGATGCTCAGCCAGAATGAATTCTGCAAATATTCCAAAATCAAAAAAAATTTGAAATCTGAAACACTTCTGGTTCCAAGTATTTCAAATAAGGGACACTCAACCTGCACTTAGTGAGTGATGCCAGGGAGTGGTACCAGTCACTGTTCTAGGCACTGAGGGTGCGTTGGAGACAAAGTGACAGCAACGTCCATGCTTCTTCCTCGCAGAGGACAGAGCCATGAGGAGGGAGAGTCTCTTCACTTCTCTGGGCCTTAGTTTCCTCCCCAGGCAAATAAACTGAGGAGGCTGTACCCAAATAAACATCGTCAGAGCTTAGGGGAATCATGTGGAGTGCCTGTTTGTCTTAAACACAAGCATTTCTTTAAGGTTCCTTAAAAAAAAAAAAGAAAAGAAAAGCTAAAAATGTTAATGACCTCTGCATTTTATTTTCTGGTATGTCCAGGTTTTTTGTTTTTGTTTTTAGACAGAGTTTTGTTCTGTCGCTCAGGCTGGACAGATCACGCAGTGGCATGATTTTGGCTCACTGCAACCTCCACCTCCCGGATTAAGTGATTCTCCTGCCTCAGCCTCCTGAGTACCTGAGATTACAGGCACCCACCATCACAGTCAGCTAATTTTTGTATTTTCAGTAGAGATGGGGTTTCACCATGTTGCCCAGGCTGGTCTTGAACTCCTGACCTCAAATGATCTACCCGCCTCAGCATCCCAAAGTGCTGGGATTACAGGCATGAGCCACTGCTCCTGGCCATATGTCCAGGTATTTTTAAATATAAAAACAAAATTTGGCCAGGTGCAGTGGCTCATGCTTGTAATCTCAGCACTTTGTGAGGCTAAGGTAGGCAGATCACCTGAGGCCAGGAGTTCGAGACCAGCCTGGGCAACATGGTGAAACCCCGTCTCTACTGAAAATACAAAAATTAGCCAGGCCTGATGGCCCATGCTTTTAATCCCAGCTACTCGGGAGGCTGAGGCAGGAGAATCACTTGAACCCAGTAGGCGGAGGTTGCAGTGAGCCGAGATCACACCACTGCACTCCAGCCTGGGCAACAGAACAAGACTTCATCTCAAAAAACAAACAAACAAACAAACAAAATAAACCCCACAAAATTTAAAATTCTTTGTAGAGTAGAAATGATGCTCTGGGAAAATACCCCCTGGGCAGGTGGTGGCTGCACATCCACTCTGGGAAAGACTCTTCAGCTCGAAGATGGAGACCCTCTTTTCCTGCTCTCACACAACATGGGGATAACGTTGACGCGTTCTTGGTAGGCAGTGCAGTAGGCAACATATCCAGACGCTGGGTGCCAGTGGTAGGCAGGAGAAACCACCGAGTGGGAGCAGATTTTCAGAAAAGGGAAACTAGAAAAAAACTTCCCAGCTGTGTCTCAGACAGGCCCTGTGGTCTGAGCTCCCATCCTTGACAAATGAGATTACTGAATGCGTGTTTAGCAGTTCCAAACGCTATTCATGATCCGACGTGACCCTCTAGTCTCTCAGACAGAGCGCAGCCCTGTTGCACAGGTGTGGAAATGGAAGCAAACAGGGAAGGTAACTTGCTGAAGGTCACACAAGCAGGACCTCGAACCATGGCCCCTAACACCGATCGGGCACTTCTTCCCCTGTTCTGTTTCTCCTCTCTGGGACCTAAAATCCCTAAAAATTCCCTAAAAGTGGAGGTGTGCTGGAAGAGTCACAGATGGCTCTGTTTTGTTTATCAGGAAATTGAGCAAGGTGCCTAACGGAAACCAAAAGGGCACCGGGGCACGTACACATGCCCTGACTTTGTTTCTCTCTTTGGCTGGTGTAACTGCTGCTACATGGACAGCGGAGCACACTGATGACTTCACAAGACTGATGCTGAGCGCCCCTCCTTGCGGCAGATCCTGCACCTCCTTCTTCTCCACACTCACTTGCAGGCATAGGTTGCTGCCTGGCTGGTTCCATGTCACCGGGTCTCTACCCTGAGCCCGTTGCAACACAGTCAGGGCTCCCAGGGTAAACTATGCTGGGAGTCCCCTAGGAAGAAGAAAGGGGAAGGGCTGAATTCTAAAGAAAGCCCAAGACCTCTTCATGAAGCACCTCTCTTTCTCTGCTTTAGAGATTGCCCCAGGGCTGCTGGGGCCGAGCACCAGCTCCCCATCAAGGCCCTGGAGAGGCGCTGGCAGCTTTCTGTCTTCTCTGCAGACCTTTGGTTCCTCCTGCCCCTCGTCCTTGGCAGAAGGAGCCTCAGTTTCCCAGTCTGTAAGGTGCCAATAATCATAAGCTACCTCAATGGTGTTTTCCTTTGAATTTTGAGAATTTTGAGAATGGAAACTTGACTATCTTCATCTCTCTTCCTATACCCCCCATTGACACGTGAATCAGCGTTTCTCAGAATACTGCAGGTTTGGAGTGTGTGTGGCGGAGGAGGGCGGAGCAGCGTGGAAGGTGGAGAGGTGGGCGGTGTCGGGGATATCAGCAGGGCAGTGGGCATTGGAGGGGTGCCCTTGGCCTCAGCCACAGGGCCGTTCCAGAGCCCTGCGTGGGCGAGGCCAGGGCGGCGCGTGATGGTGCCCTCCGAGAAGCACTGGGACCAGCAGGAAAGGCTGCCTGCCGGTGCGCAGGAAAAGGGAAGAGAGCCGGGGAATTGCTTTTTGACCCGTAAGGGAGCGTTTCTTGGTGGATGGGGAAATCAAAAAATTGACTACGGTGTAGTCAGCTACATCGTGTACCAATTTTCAAATACCGGTGAGATCAGTAAAAAGAGAAAGGGAAGGAGATCACAGATAGCATGAAACCAAGCCATCAATAATGAAAGTACCACTGGTTACTGAGCAGCGTCTGCTTCTAACTGACTTTGCTGGGGGAGGGGCGGGACAGGTACAAGCAAAAACAGCAACGACAGCGCAGCAGTTGCTTCATGTGAGTAATAATTGAATGGTACGAGGCTCTTCCACATTCATGTATTGAAGGCCCAAGTGCGGCCAAGGTCTCCCTGGTTCCTGAGGTTTGTTTCATGCTGGGTTCCTTATACTCCAGATGTCGGGAGGGACCCTCAGGGGCCGAGGTGCCCACACCTGTGCTCCCTGCATGACAGACTTCCTGGGGTCTTGGCTCCCAGTCTGTCCTCATCCTCTACACACACCCAAATGTGGAAGTCACCCCCAGCTTGAGTGAATCCCACACCCTCAGACCATTGGCCATGATATTACGTGTGTTGCAAAATATCAAGGATTCAGCTGAGAGGCTCTCGCAGTGGACGGCTCAGAGGCCGAGTCACACACTGCCCAGGCTTTCCCTGGGGGGCCCTGGCCCGGGGGCCCCCTGCCTTAAGATGCCCTTCCTCTCCTCCCTCAGTCTCCCACTGTCTTCAACTCGGGCCCTCACTCTGCTTATCATAGACCCCAAAATGCCTCTGCTCAAACAAATGGCTTGACCTGTTAGCGATATAGAAAAGTGAGCGGATCCTTTGAACATGTTCGTTTCTCCTTTTCTCCACCCACCCTGCGCCGTTTCCCATTTCTCTAAGTGCCTGGAATGTGTGGAGAGTCTCCTGATGATATGATGCCAGCTGTGCCCAGCTCCCTGGAACACAACATAGGGAATTAACCAGTGTGTTCCTCTTTCCTCCGTTAGTGAAAATGAGTACTATTTAATAATGCAGTGACACAGGATTTGTTGCTGTTGCAGCACTTGCATGGCCATGCTCACCTTCACACCACGCGGAGGCCAAAGGCATTGTTCCCTCAGCTGCGGCCCTCTCCCCTCAGCAGCCCTGGCCATTCCACCATGGTGTAGTCCTCCTGCCCTTCTCCATCCTTCTGAATCCCATTCTGCCAGCTCCAGGGCTGCACGCCCTCTGGAATGACCACCCGCAGCTAGCCCAAGCTGCTCCTGCTGTTTATTTTCTTTGCACTTTGTTTAATTATTTCCCACATCTTGGTCCTCTCTCCTTGATTTCAGATGGATTGCTGAAGACAGAGTGTATTTGTGGCTCCGCTCAGGCTGTACACAGACAGGGGCACTCAGCATCCGTGGGTCGTATTTCATTCTAGGGCCAGGAGCGCGGGCTACTGCGTCAGTGGGAAAGACGTGGAGATGAGTTCATATTTACCTATTTCATGGTGAAATCTGCAAGGTCCCTAAGGCAATGGCTTTCTTGAATGGTGACAGCAACTGATGAGTCTGAAAAATCTTTGTGTCTCACTTAGGATTTTTGCACAGCTGGTTTCATAATTCAGTTATTTTGATACAAAAGCGTTCTGCTCTAATTAGTAAAAAAAGACCAGGCGATAGTGTTTGCCTCTTGTTAGGTGGCTGCCCCATCCATGCCTTTCATTTCTGGAGTAGGTGCCCAGGAAATGTTT